>NC_000012.12:42005582-42157097 GCF_000001405.40 Homo sapiens
GCATAATAAAAGCTAATGTTTACTAAGGCCTTGACATACACTGAGCACATTAAGTGCATATGTGCATATTTTCATTTAATTCTCACACCAACCCTCACAGATAGATGCCATTATTATGCCCATGGTAGAGATGGCATCGAGGTGAAATAACCTGTCCAGGTCTTAAAGGTTGCCAGTGGCAAAGCACGGAGACTCATGAGTGAAGCAGGTCTGTCAGACCTCAGTGCACACACTCCTCACTCCACACTTTACTACCTCAAACTCAGTCTCCTGTGTACTTCCTTCCACTCATGTATTCCACCTCCACTCTTTTCTTTTTCTTTTTTTTTTTTTTTGAGACAGAGTCTTACTGTGTCACCCAGGATAGAGTGCAGTGGCACAATCTCAGCTCTCTGCAACCTCTGCCTCCTGGTTCAAGCAATTCTCATGCCTCAATACTCATCCTGAGTAGCCGGGACCACAGATACGCCGCCACCACACCCAGCTAATTTTTTGTATTTTTAGTAGAGACGGGGTTTCACCATGTTGGCCAGGCTGGTTTTGAACTCCTGGATGGGCTCAGTGGCTCACGCCTGTAATCCCAGCACTTTGGGAGGCTGAGGCGGGTGGATCACTTGAGGCTAGGAGGGGATTACAGGTGTGAGCCATTGCGTCCAGCCCCACCTCCACTCTTGAATGCCTTCCCCCTCCCTGTCTAAATCCTAATCATGTTCAAAGCACCAGTTCCCATCTTCCCTGCCACACCTGCAATTCTGTACACCAGAACACAGGCATCAGAATCACCTAGAGTGGCTGGTAAAAATGAAGGCTCTTATGCCCCACCCCTAATTCAGTGGATTATAAGGTAGGAGAGTGGGGCTCAAGTCTGCATTTTAACAAGGTCACTGGGGGATGTTGAAGTCCATCAGTGTTTGAGCAACTGGCCCACATTACAGTGCATGAAATTTGTATACTAATTACATACTGACCCAGGAGGCATTTGGAGTCTGGCAAGAATTGTACTAGCTCCAAGTAGGTTCAGTCACAAAGACAGCTGTTTGGCATTTTCCATAAACGCAAGATTACAGATGCCCATTGTGCTCATAGGTTACCCAACCAAAGCTGGGTTATCCATCATATGGCTTCACTAGGGAACTAGTTGAGCCTTGGTACTACTAACTAAAGAAACATTAGGTACAGAACACAAAGAAAGAGAGAACATTGTGGCTTGTAAAACACTGAATTATCCTGGGGTTCATATTTACTACATATTTAGGAGTCAAAAAGTATCCATGCTCTTCTGGTGTTTCCACTTCAAACATAACGATGTGCAGTATAAGAAAGAAAAATGGATACCAGACATTAAATTAAGAAGCCACTTCTAAAAGCCAGGTGGCTAATTCAAATTAGAACACATTTTGTGTCTTTTCTGAATAACAAGGAGGAGCAGAAAAGACACATTTTCAATGACATTTATAAAGCATTGATTTCCTTTTCTCTCTAACCCAGGGATGCTTCATTCACTGCAGAGATAACACCCTGAATATGAACGTGATTAACAGTGATGATTTGGTAAGAGGTATGTTTAGAGCAAAGCAGCTTCTTCAGCGTTAACCAGCATTTATTGAGCACCTACTATCTATAGGGCATACAATGAAATGGAGGTTTGAAAAATATTTAGGTTCTAGCCATGGAGACCTAAGGGTAACAGTACCTAGGAAGGATGAAAGAATGATTACACTGAGTCCTAGAGCAGACCTGGAGTGCTTAAGGAACTTGTACATTTAGTCTACCCAAAAGAATCATAAAAACACTAGAACATAAGTTTTCCTTAACTGCCACATCAACTAGCAGGGTTTGGTGGGCAGGAACTACATTCCCCTGGCTGTCCTCCTAGCTCTCCAGAGCAACATATTTGAACAAACAGTTCCTGGCCCAGTCTATGGCTCTGGCTAATTTGAGAAAGAAAAAAAATTCCTTGCACCCCCTGTTATACTTTTAAAATCATTATCTATTTAAAAATATATATTGTTGAAAGGTATTATAAATTCAATGTGATCTTAAAATAAGTTGTATTAAACATAGCAGTATCTACATTCTACATATATCTAAAAATAGTTAAATTGTGTGAGGCTGGGTGCAGTGGTTGACACCTGTAATCCTAATATTTTGGGAGGCTGAGGTGGGAGGATCCCTTGAGGCCTGGAGTTCAAGACCAGCCTGGGCAACTTGTCTCTCCAAAAAAATTTTTAAGGCTGGACACAGTGTCACACGCTGGTAGCCCCAGCTACTTGGGAGGCTGAGGCAAAAGGATTCCTTGAGCCTAGGAACTTGAGGCTGCAGTGAGCCAAGACTGTGCTATTGGACTCCAGTCTGGGTGACAGAGAGTGACCCTGTCTCTAAAAAGTGTGGTTTATTCGGTCCACAGGCAATGCTTCGTGCACTTAGGAATCTGAAGAACACTTTAATACTTTCGGCCGGGCGCGGTGGCTCACGCCTGTAATCCCAGCACTTTGGGAGGCCAAGGCGGGAGCATCACAATGTCAGGAGATCAAGACCATCCTGGCCAACACAGTGAAACCCTGTCTCTACTAAAAATACAAAAAATTAGCTGGGCGTGGTGGCAGGCGCCTGTAGTCCCAGCTACTCGGGAGGCTGAGGCAGGAGAATGGCGTGAACCCGGAAGGCGGAGCTTGCAGTGAGCCGAGATGGCGCCACGGTAGTCCAGCCTGAGCGACAGAGCGAGACTCTGTCTCAAAAAAAACTTTCAAGGGCCCAGAGTAGAGACCTGCGTCTCACAAGCTGACATCTCTTGTTCCAGCCTTTAATCTCCAAGGTTTTCCTCCCAGACTCTACTTAACTAGGTCTGTGGAAAGAAGTCCCCAGTGCCCTGGTGAAAGCAGAGAGGTTAGACCAGTCAGGAAAAGGGAAACTAATGTTGGATTTCTTCAGATGGTTGACAGCAGCATTTTTGAAAGCTGTCGGTGTCTTCACCGGGTTGAGGATTGGAGACTGAGCCTGGACTGTCTCGGAGCAACCACTTGATTCTCTTTGAAGATGTGATTTCACCTCAGAAGACACCTTGACTGCCATAACATGGAGAGTTGTAAAAGGGTGAAGCAAAAAAAAAAAAAAAAGCCTTATCGGGCAGGTCATAAATGTCCAATTCTCTCTAAGGGAGGCAAGTATTGTCCTTAGGAATATTTACTTTATGAAACTGTAGGCAGCAGAGAAGTGGTTTGAATCAGATCATTCTTAAGGTTTATTCCTCAAAAGTCAAACATGATTTCAGTTTGGGGTCATCCACCAAGCATGAAGGTTGTGGATAACAGTATTATTAATATTCCATAAATTCTTTATACAGTACTCAGTGGAAAATCATCATTTGTAATATTTATCTGGTGCTTGAATGAGAACATGTGATAATATGACAATTCAATTTTCTACTTTGACATTTCAAATATGACCAAGTCATGATAATCAATCAGTAATACGTTTATCATCCACATGAAGCCAATTATGCACCAATAATCAGTGAAATTTTGAACTTGTAACCTAGACCTGTGTGCAGTAACCGACAGTGAAGGTGGAGACATTTGCTGTAATTGTGCTGTTATTGCTTCTAACAAAATGTTTTATACCCGAAAGGGCAGGCAGCGCTTTTAAACCCTCCATTCCAGTCTGGCTCTTTATTACAAATTGCCTTTTGAATCATAAGCTCTTTAGAAGGGCAATGTGAGGTGCAGTCATAGAAGATGGCATGAGTCCATGACTCTGGAGTCGACTAGACTCTGGTTCAAATCCTGGCTCTGCAGTTATTAAGCAAGTAACCTTGAGCAAGAGATTTAAGCTCTCTAAGCCTCAGTTTCTCCACCTATAAGGGGGGGATGGTCATAACTACCTTGCGGGGCTACGGAAAGGTTCACCGTCATGTAGGGCACATGGTGCACAATAAACAGTAACTATCATAACCAAAAGAATGTAACCAAAGCTTAAAAACTAAGATCATGTTTTTAAAAGAATAATTTTTAAACTTCTTATCTAGGCTGGGCACAGTGACTCACACCTGTAATCCCAGCACTTTGGGAGGCCAAGGCAGGCAGATCACCTGAGGTCAGGCGCTTGAGACCAGCCTAGCCAACATGGTGAAACCCCATCTCTACTAAAAATACAAAAACTAGCCGGGCATGGTGATGGGCACCTATAATCCCAGCTACTCGGGAGGCTGAGGCAGGAGAATCACTTGAACCCAGGAGGCGGAGGTTGCAGTGAGCCGAGATCATGCCATTGCACACTAGCCTGGGCAAAAAGAGCCAAACTCCATCTCAAACAAAAAAAAAACTTCCTATATAGATGAATTAATGTTAAGAGAAATATTTAAAACGTAGCACCCATTATAATCAAGTATCTTTTAAAATATTCTGATTACTAGACAACAATTATATGCACTATTTTAATAATATCGTAAAATGGTTGCACTTTGTTCTTTGTTTATTGCATTCTGAAATCCCATGTTAGAATTATAGGCATATAAACCAAGGCTATTAAGAATGCCTGGTAAAAGCACTTACTGATGCATCATTTAGCCTGTATTTTGTCTTTGGAAGAGAGAAATCCAAATGGCTGCTTCTTTCAAATGTCACCCAGATACATACTGTTCATTTGAGATCATCTAAATTATGGGTGTGTGTGTGTGCATTTTAACTCAACTTTCCATGGCACCCCACAGAAAGTTTCCATCCTCTGTGAGACAATTGAGAACACCATCTGGGACAATTGAGAATACCGTCTGGGACTCAGATGAATTATGATGTTGCCAATATACATGATATGCATCACTATAGGAGGCTTCCCATGAGCCTCTTCTCTGGTCCCAAACAGTGGGCCTCAGACCTCATGGGACTGCAGTTATTGCCAGAGATCCTTGAATCACTATGAGCACAGTCATTCACTGTGTGCAGACTACATACAGCATATTATCACACACAGATGTGTGTTTCAGATATCTATTACTGTGTAGCAACCCCCCCACCCATGAGAAGCCAAAAAAAAAAATGTATTCTTCTCTTCTAATTCTGTGGGTGGATTGGTGGTTCCACTGCTCCACATGGTACTGGCTGAAGTGCTAGGATGTCAACAGTCATCTGGGGGCTTGGCTGGGCTGGAACATTCAAGATGTCATGCTCGTACAATTGCCTATTTTTGGTTCTTGGTGGGAAGCTCAGCTGAGGCTGTCAACCACAACACCTATATGTGAAATTTCTATGTACATGGGGCTTCTCAGAGTGGCTAGGTTGCAAAAGATAGCACCCAAAACGGACGTATTTTTAAAAGGCAGAGAGAGGCAGCAAGGCTTCTTATGCCCTAGCCTTGGAAACCACACAGTGTCATTCTGTTGCTCAAAGCACTCACAGGACCAGCCTGTGATTCAAGCAGAGGGCAATTAGACCTCACTTCTCAATGAGAGTTCTGCTGTTTTCCATGTGTCTTTCAATGTGTAATTGACAAAATACAAATTTATTGAAGGGCATATTGGATTTTTAGTAAATGTCAATCATTAAATATTTTTTCAACCAACTCATAAAAGTGTAAAAGCAATTTAACAAGATGATTAAGCATTCACGCTGTGCAGTTAGATGGGTCTGAATTTAAATCCCTATACCTATTGGCTGTGTAAACAGGAGAACATCACTAAGCCTCAATTTCTCCACATCCAAATCAGCAATAGAAACAGACTTCCCAGTGCAGTTCTAAAGATTGCATTAAAAAAATGCGTGGTAGATGCTTAGCACTCAAGATAATTAGCTCTTGTAGTTGATGTGATGCCAGGAGGCTGCTCCTGCTGACCATTCTTCCTCCTCTACCTGCCTCCCTGACCCCATCCTTCCGCTCACTTCAACTGATGTTTACATAAACCAATGGGATGGCTACAATGCCCGACATGTGCTGTGGCTGGAAAGCGTCTATAGCTAGAAACTCACTGGAAAGATCTATTTTAGCACTTGCTTATGCATAATATTTAATAATGACAAACATAATTTAAGGGGCAAAATATTGATAGAAGAAAAGGGAAAAATTTAAAAAGTAGCCCTACTATAATCAAGTTTTTTTTGTTCGTTTGTTTGTTTGTTCATTTGTTTGAGATGGAGTCTCGCTCTGTCACCCAGGCTGAAGTGCGCTGGCACCATCTCGGCTCACTGCAACCTCCGCCTCCCAGGTTCAAGCAACTCTCCTGCCTCAGCCTCCCAAGTAGCTGGGACTACAGCTAATTTTTGGGGCTAATTTTTTGTATTTTAGTAGAGATGGGGTTTCACCGTGTTGCCCAGGCTGTTGGCGAACTCCTGAGCTCAGGCAATCCACCCACCTCGGACTCCCAAAGTGCTGGGATTATAGGCATGAGCCACCGCGCCCGGTCATAATCAAGTATTTTTTAAAAACTTTTCTTAAACCTCATTGCCTGACAAAGAAGTCAGGAGCTAATCCCTACTTAGTTTAGTAATCACAAGTGATGACTTAGTTCTGGCCTACTTGCCATGTTTCTTGGGACAAAACTGACTGAGCAGCAGAATCCAAGGACTATGGTGCATAAAGAGTTAAAAGTAGTATCTGAGTGCACAGCGGTTAGATCAGGTCTCAAGCCAAGGAAAGCAGGGCAACACAGAGCAAATAACCAGGAACCAAAAGAATCAGCCTGTGTGCTTAGGGTAACAAGCAAGAGCAGATTAATTAAATGGGGTAGTGGGGACAGGTAGGAAATCCAACTGGATGGAAGCCAAAGTTCAAATCTCAGAAGCATCAGAAGGTCACAGAAAGAATTCTGCAGCTTCCCTGGGGCTGTTCCCCTTACTGTCTGTTCCAAGCAACTCTTTCTCACCTGGACAGGAAAATGGCCCTGTGTAGCTTCTGATCCAAGTTCAGTCCAATCTAGCCCAAGTTTAGCCCAGTGAAGTTCGTGGTAACCTGAGAGCTTAATGCAGATTTTAAAGTGAGAATTTTGCTCAATTCAAATATTTTCTCAGAAGGAAGTTCTTTGGCCCTGGGCTATTCCAGTGACTATTTCATCAAGAGTGAACTGGCTCTGCCTACAAAATGTATGAGGTTTCTCCTCCATATATGGAAGCCAACAAGGGTTATCCACATGAGAGAAGCTGTGGAATCTTGCTCTGTCACCCAGGCTGGAATGCAATGCAGTGGCATGATCTTAGCTCACTGCAACCACCACCTCCTGGGTTCAAGCAATTCTCCTGTCTCAGCCTCCTGAGTAGCTAGGACTACAGGCACATGCCATCATGCCTGGCTAATTTTTGTATTTTTAGTAGAGACGAGGTTTCACCATATTGGTCAGGCTGGTCTCAAACTCCTGACATCAGGTGATCTGCCCACCTTGGCCTCCCAAAGTGCTGGGATTACAGGTGCAAGCCACCATGCCCAGCCTGAAATCTACTTTATAAAGTGTTTTGGAACCCCTGAGGGTGAAAATATTTATAAAAGTTAAATGAACAGGCCTCCCTCTGGGAGACACACCTCTGGCATGTCATGGTAAAGGTAAAATAGAGGTAAAATAAGGTTCTAACAAAGCTCTCCTGGTGTCCCCAACATAAAGCCTTTTTTAAATGCTGCTGGAAGGATCTGCCTACTTCTGCATTCCACACTGCAGTAGGTGCTGTTATATATTAAGACCCCAATGAACAAAGCATTTTCAGTAATGGTATTTCTCCCAGTCCTTTGTCTATACATACAAATTTGCTGAGCCGCCTGTATTTATCATCCCCATGTTTGGTGCTATATATTAATAATGTTGAACAACAGATTTATAGACAAGGCATTAGACACTGAAATTAGACTCACACTAAGACTTTCATATCTTACTGCACTATTTGTTATACTTTTGAGAGCAACTTTTATATGCCCACTCTTTCTTAATTTATAAGCTAGAAGAGAGAGCCATCATTTTATATTCCTGGTGGTACATTTTATATTCTGTCAGTACCACCAAACAAGAAACAGCTTGCTAGGACTCCAGGTCCCTTGGAGAATTCCTCCAAAGCATTGATAGTCAGGGAAGCCCTCTAGTCACTACTCTGACATGTATTGCTTATATATTGAATTTTTGCTTAAGCTCAAGAGATTGTAGTTGGATGATTGAATGGCTCAATGGAATCTCATTGCTTTTTGCCCCCTCTCTCTGAGGGAGATGCTTTTCCAAAAAGCCTCATTGGCTAGACTACATTTCCACTGAAAAGAAGGGTTTCCCTTCTCTAATCCATGATACAAGCCTGCTAGTAATCCTTTGACAATATTCAAATGGCTATCCCACACCTTCAGGTAGCCATTTACTGCTTAAAGCCATTGTATCACAGAAAACTTGGTTTATATCTGTTGGTTTCTATTTAAATTCCACTGACTCCACCCTGCCTACTACTTACATTTAAATATGCATTTAATTGGATGGGAGTTTAGTCAAGCAAAGGTGGCAGATCTGTACCCGTCAGGCCATGTGGAATTGACTGTCACTCATTAAAGTTATCCTTAAGATAAAGATTTAAATCTATTTCATTTCCTTACTCAGTATCACTAAAGTAAATAGGACTAAGACACGGGTATTAAAGGAGATTTCCCAGCCAAGAACATTGACAGCTGAAATATAATCAGTTTATAAGATTTATAATGCTATTGACTTTTCTTTTGCACCATAAATTTCACTGCTGACTCTGCCTGGGTTTTATTATAATATCATATCATATTAGGGAGATCAGCTTTGCTGTTGATGAATGAAAATCACTGATATGAAAAAAAATTCCCATTATCAGCTCATCACCTAATCATATTAGCATCTTTGTATCCTATTATCAACTTTTTTATATGAAATAACATTTCCTAATGACAGGGATTTCACTAATGCTATATGAGTGTTGCTAATATCATTTGAGGGTTCTCATCATGCATGTCCTACTTGAAGGCAGAGTATATTTGTTTTCTACACAGACTTTGAAAAATGCAAATAGTGTTTAGCAATTCAGGCAAAAAAATTATGTTTTGTGAAAAACTATCCTCTTGATTAGCATTGAAGGCCCTTCACAATTTTGTCCCAACCTTTGATTGATAGTGTGACTCACAAATTTGAAGAAAGTTATAACAGATAGAAAAAAAAAAAACACTGCAAACCTGCTGAATGCAAAGTAGAATATATTTAACTTATTTAGTTGTCACTCATAATAGTTTCAAAGTCAAAGCACAGTAAAGTTCAGCCAAATTAATTCTTATGTGACACCTTGAATGTTTTATACCAAGTGTTTGTCAATGTCATCAAGTAAGAGGGTTTTTTACCTACTTTTTAGCGAATGCCCAACTTTCTCAAAATGAATTGAAACTTGGTTTAAAAACAGCACCTTTGTGAAATTCATTTTTTAGAATGTGATCGAGTCATTGGAGTTGGTGGCTATATCTGCAAGATGCTGAACCAGCCAATCACCACAGCAATTCAGTTTGACAACCAGTCAATGCAGTGAGAAAATCAATTTCATCAGCTCATTGAACTGAACTGATGCCTGTGGACACATGCAAATCAAAGGCCCTGTGTGGCTTCCTCTCACTGCTAAGGCAGCTGCTTCTCTCTTACCATGGTGGGAAAAGGTTCCAACCCAGCTAGAATTCCCACAAAAGGGAAGCTTGGCTCTTTTGTGTATTTTTAAGCTCCCCTGGCATCTGACACCAAGCTAAGAGACATTTGCTAGGCAGCACCAGATATCTCTCCCAACCCACTCCAGCCCAGGGCTCAGGAGCACAATCCAGACTCCTTGGTGCTGTTCCCTGCCTACCCTGCTCATTTCCTGTAGAATTCAGGATTCACTTTTGGCTCTGCTGTGAGAGTATAATCTCTCTGTTTCACAAAATGACAGACAGAACAACTGCTCTCCAAAATTTCTTCCAAGGAGCTTTTTTTTTTTTTTTGAGACAGAGTGCCACTCTGTCACCCCAGCTGGAGTACAGTGGCACAATCACAGCTCACTGCAGCCTTGAATGCCTGGGCTCAAGCAATCCTCTCTCATCTCAGTCCCCCCTGTAGCTGGGATTACAGGCATGCACCACCATGCCCAGCTAATTTTTTTAAAATTTTTTGTAGAGATGGGGTCTCACAATGTTGCCCAGGCTAAAAAGGAGCCTATTTAAAAGGTTCTAATTACAGAGTCTCATACCTTGAAGGTCAGCCAGGAGATTCCAGGATTCCTAGAGTGGTTAGATAATATAACTTGCCTGCTCTGTGGACCCTCCTTATATGTCTCTCACTGACATGTGAGTCCTTGAAATGAAGAGACCATGTCATTATAACCCATAAAATGACTGGCAGAGAATTCAAAGAGCTGAGGAATCAAAAAAGAAAAAAAACTGGCAGATCACAGAGTTTATTAAATATTGAATGGCTAGATTAATTAATTAATTAATTAAAAGTAATGGATCTCAAACTTTAGTTGGCATTTTTTTTCTTTTCTTTTCTTTTTTGAGATGGAGTCTTGCTCTGTCACCCAGGCTGGAGTGCAGTGGCGTGATCTTGGCTCACTGCAACCTCCGCCTCCTGGGTTCAAGTGATTTCTCAGCCTCCTGAGTAGCTGGGATTACAGGCACATGCCACCCCTTACAGACAGGGTTTCGCCATGTTGGCCAGACTAGTCTTGAACTTCTGACCCTCAGGTGATCTGCCTGCCTCGGCCTCCCAAAGTGCTGGGATTACAGGCGTGAGCCACCTTGCCCTGACTAGTTGGCATTTTTTTTTAATCATCTGAAATCTTTTTAAATACAGATTCCTGGACTCCACCACCCCCAAAATCTTGTCTGAGAATAAGAATTTTTGGATTGAGTGCAGGTATCTGAATTTTAACAAATAGCCTAACTGACATACTTTGATAAGTATCAGTTGTCTTCCACCAATCTGACCCATCTCTTACTTCAAACAAACAAACAAAAAAAGACTATACACATGTTTGGTACAAGCCAAATTTTGCACCGAAATTTCTGCTGCAAGTATCTATTTTTGCTGTTGTTTCGATGCATTACTTATTTAAGCCTAGAATAGTCAAGCATTTAAAGCATATGTCCAGCCCTGAGTTCCATTGGAAATTAGTTGGGAAGGCATCCCCAGTGAATGTGTGCAAATATTTTCACACAGAATATCAGAAAGTCTTCATAAATGTCTCCCTTTAGTTGATTTTTTTTTTTTTGAGACAGAATCTCACTGTGTCGCCCAGGCTGGAGTACAGTGGCACAATCTCAGCTCACTGCAACCTTCATCTCTCCTCACTGCAACCTCCATCTCTAGGGTTCAAAGGATTCTTGTGCCTCAGCCTCCTGAGTAGCTGGAACTACAGGTGCGCCACCACGCCTGGCTGATTTTTGTATTTTTAGTAGAGACGGGGTTTCACCATGTTGGCCAGGCTTGTCTTGAACTCCTGGCCTCAAGTGATCTGCCCGCCTTGTCTTCCAAAAGTTCTGGGATTACAGGCGTGAGCCACTGCGCCCAGCCTTAGTTGGCTTTTTGAGTTACCTCTGCATTGACATATTTCCAGATGTTCAGCAGAAGAAAACTGCCCACCTTTAGGAAGAGGTGAGAGGAGTCACAGGGAAGCCTAGTTACACTGTGAGGCGAGTGAGCAGCAGAGAGTGAGAGGAAGCAAGCTGAAACCAGCTGGGAGCAAGACAGTGTAGCCAAGATGAGGAAGCTAAAAATGTCACTCCTGCAGCTTGTTCAGCTCCTCCTAGCAAGAGGAGTCGCTCCCTGTCCGTGCCCCTATTCTGATGTGGATATGTCTCTATTACAGAGTTTTTTACAGCAAAGTGTACTTCACTGTCTCTCCCGGGCAGTAAGCTCCTTCCAGATGGAGCTGTGGCTGACAGTATCATGGTTAAAAGTTTGTTCTCCAGGCAGACCCCAAATTCAAATCCAGATCTGCCACTTATTGGCTGTGAGAGCTTGGCAACTTATCCTCCTAACCTCAGCTGTCTCATCTGCAAAATGGACACAATAATAACTCCCCTAGAGGGACGGTTCCATGGATTAAGTGAGATAATCCACATAAACTTCTTAGCAAGCTTTCACTGTAAGTGTTTAATAAATGTTAGTTCTTATAAATTATTATTTGACATGGTGGATCATGTGATCCACCTGCCTCAGCCTCCCAAAGTGCTGGGATTACAGATGTGCTGCCACCTCGCCCTGCCCAAAGTTAATATTTTGAGTTTCTTGTACTGACTGGGGACACTGTTAGGAGCAGGGTTTAAGAGTCTGTTTAAAACTCTCCAGGGAGCACAGGTGTCCCCTAGCCTCCCTCCAACCTGAGGAAAAGGGGCTTTGATGAGGGTGTAGGGCTAAAGGGGTTTCCAGAGATACACCTGGGCTGCAAGGCTCCAGGGCAGGGGTGTAAGAATGGTGGTGGGGCCAGCAGGTTACAGCCTCAGGGCTGACTGCTACTCTCCCCTGCTAGCCTGTGAGGCTGGTGTCATAGGAAGGCTCGAGCTGCTTCCAAGTTGGTCCAAGTTACTTGGAGGAACTCTTGCCCTCTGATGTCTAGGGACTGGGTAACAACAGAATTTATTATCCAAACCTGGACATGAGTGGGAAAGGGTCTGTTATGAATAATTACACAGGACCGGCCCAGGCAAACCAAGATGGGGGCCACCCTACCTATGAATGTGGTTTAGGGAAGACCTTTGTGATGAATGAAATGGAAATGAGGACCTCTGGTACCCATCCTACCACAGCCAGCCTCAGCTCCAGCTGGGCACCTGAGGAGGATGGAAAACAAGGCCAGTCAAGGGCTCACTGCTGATGAGTCTAAGTATCTGCTGAAAGCCTTATGTGAAATGCCTAATCCTGTTGCACTTGGACCAGAAGCCCAGGCTGGGAGACCCCTCATGGCCTCTTCCCTGGGTCCACTCTTCTCTTAGCTCTTGGGGTTTCACCACGCTGTGGAAAGATGTAAAGAAAAAGGAAGGCCAGGCATGGTAGCTCACACCTGTAATCCCAGCACAGGTGTGAGCTGAGTTGGGAGGGTTGCTTGAGCCCAGGAGTTTTGAGACCAGCCTGGGCAACAGGGCAAAACACCGCGTCTACAAAAACTACAAAAAAATTTAGCTGGGTGTGGTCATGCACGCCTGTAGTCTCAGCTATTCAGGAGGCTGAGATGGGAGAATCACCTGAGCCCATGAAGTCGAGGCTGCAGTGAGCCATGATTGCACCACTGCACTCCAGCCGGGGTGACAGAGCAAGACCCCATCTCAAAAAAAAAAAGGAATAAAAGAAAAAGGAAGCCAAGAAAAAGAGGACCAAGAGAAGGGTCTTCCCTAAACCACATTCATAGGTAGGGTAACCCCCTCTTGGTTTGCCTGGGCTAGTTCTGTGTAATTATTCGTAACAGACCCTTTCCCACTCATGTCCAGGTTTGGATAATAAATTCTGTTGTTATCCAGCCCCCAGACATCAGAGGGCAAGAGTCCCTCCAAGTAACTTGGACCAACTTGGAAGCAGCTCAAGCCTTGCTATGACACCAGCCTCATAGGCTAGCAGGGGAGAGTAGCAGTCAGCCCTGAGGCTGTAACCTGCTGGCCCCACCACCATTCTTACACCCCTGCCCTGGAGCCTTGCAGCCCAGGTGTATCCCTGGAAACCCCTTTAGCCCTACACCCTCATCAAAGCCCCTTTTCCTCAGGTTGGAGGGAGCCTAGGGGACACCTGTGCTCCCTGGAGAGTTTTAAACAGACTCTTAAACCCTGCTCCTAACAGTGTCCCCAGTCAGTACAAGAAACTCAAAATATTAACTTTTGGCAGGATGCGGTGGCAGCACATCTGTAATCCCAGCACTTTGGGAGGCCGAGGCAAATGGATCACATGAGGCCAGGAGTTTGAGACCAGCCTGGGCAACATGGTGAAACCCCGTCTCTACTAAAAATACAAAAATTAGCCAGGCATGGAAGCACACACCTGTAATCTCAGCTGCTCGGAAGGCTAAGCTGGGAGAATCGATTGAACCCAAGAGGCAGAGGTTTCAGTGAGCCAAGATCACACCACTGCACTCCAGCCTGGGAGACGAGACAAGACTCTATCTCAAAAAACAAACAAACAAACAAACAAACAAACAAAAAAACCACAGCTTTTACTTTCCATGGATTTAAGAGCTAATTTGTTTTTTTATAGCTCCAAAACTCTTGGGTGAGGGATAAAACAGTATTTAACCAGCTATTGATGTCCAGCAGTCACAGGATATTAAAGATACAGGTCAAAAACATCAAAAAAGCACAATCAGTCACAATAACTAAGTCCTGTCAAGCAGTTTACATTCACAGTGTGCTTCCATACATACGACCTCACTGTTGCCTTTCATCCCCACCGAGAGATCAGCATTGTCAGCCCAAAGTCTGCAGGTTAGAAACAGGCCACTGAGAAAGGCTGAATTGCTCAAGGTCACTCAGTATGTAAGTGGCAGACCTGGAACCTGAAGCCAAGTCTTTTGATTTCAAACCTTGTGATTCTCTCTAACACGAGGAGTCACATATTCAGATTAACTTGAATTCAACCATAAATTTTCCAGGAATAAAAAGAAAAAGAAGAGAGAAAAATACAGAGAGAAAAAAAAGTGAGAGGGAGCAACCATTTAAATAGTACAGGCAACATCTCTGACCAATCCTTTTTTTTTTTTTTTTTTTTTTGAGACAGGGTCTTGCTCTGTCACCAGGCTAGAGTGCAGTGGTTCACTTATAGCTCACTGCAACCTCAACCTTCCAAGCTCAAGTGATCCTCCCACCTCAGTCCCCAAAGTAACAGCGACTACAGGCACATGCCACTGCGCCTGGCCTATTTATTTATTTATTTATTTATTTATTTATTTATTTATTTTTATTTTGTCGAGTTGGGTTCTCATTACCTTGTCCAGCTTTGTCTCAAACTCCTGGGCTGAAGTGATCCTGCTGCCTAGGTCTCCCAAAATGCTGACATTACAGGTGAGAGCCACCACTCTTGGCCTCTGACCTATCCTTTTAATGCAAACATGACATGGAATGCGCAAGTGAGCTGAAACATGACAACATCGTTCACTCCATGGGACTCCATTCTCAGATGCTTTCATCATGAGACCGTCTCGTCTCACTGAACGTGATTCTAGGATTTAAAGGCATGTGTTTTTGGATAACACAATCCCTAAACACAAATGAACACCTCTAGGTCATCTGGTGTTCAACCCAAGGAAACAAGCATGCTGGAGGAAAACCCTTAGGGTGGGACAATGTCAGACCCCACATGGCATCTTCCACCGGTCTCAGCCCCCATAGGAGCTGTGACTCCCGCAGCGTCCACCATTTTATAACTGAAAAAGTGTTCGCACAGACCCAGCTCACCCAATCCTTTCAACATCCTTGAGAAAGGGAGAGTAGGACAGATGTCATTGTCCCTATCCCATAGGTGGGGCAGGATAATATTTTGAAATACTACACTGTGTATTTCTTCTGCGTATTTTATGCTACAGGAAAGGAAGGAATGCAATTAGTGAAGGCTCATTCAGGTCAGGCCTCTGAATGTGGGGCTCTCTGAGCTGGGCAAGTTTCTTGTGCCTGAACTTAGCCCAGAAGTCACAGAGCTGCCTGCCACCAAGACACATGGCTTGGGCAGAGCAGGTGCCAGCTGTGACCATGCTGGACTGAGGCTGGATGATCCTCCCCATAAACTAAGGCACCACTAAGGCGCCTTTCTTCTTATATGTATTAGTCTGTTTTCACACTGCTATAAAGAACTACCTGAAGCCAGGCGTGGTGGCTCACGCCTATAATCTCAGCACTTTGGGAGGCCTAGGCGGGTGGATTACTTGAGGTCAGGAATTCGAGACCAGACTGACCAACATGGTGAAACCTCTTCTCTACTAAAAATACAAAAATTAGCCAGGCTTGGTGGTGCATGCCTATAATCCGAGCCACTCAAGAGGCTGAGGCAGGAGAGTAACTTGAACCTGGGAGGCAGAGGTTACAGTAAGCTGAAATCGTGCCACTGCATTCCAGTCTATCATGCCACTGCATTCCAGCCTAGGCAACAGAGTGAGACCCTGTCTCAAAAAAAAAAAAAAAAAAAAACCCTGAGACTGGGTAATTTATGAAGAAAAAGGTTTGACTCACAGCCCCACAGGTTTAACAGGAAGCATGACTGGGAGGCCTCAGGAAACTTAAACAATCAGCAGAAGTCGAAAGGGAAGCAAGCACTTCTTGATATGGTGGCAGGGGAGAGAGACAGCAAAGAGGGGAGATGTGCCACACGCTTTTTTTTTTTTTTTTTTTTTTTTTTTGAGCTGGAGTCTTGCTCTGTCGCCCAGGCTGGAGTGCAGTGGCGCGATCTCCGCTCACTGCAAGCTCCGCCTCCCAGGTTCACACCATTCTCCTGCCTCAGCCTCCTGAGTAGCTGGGATTACAGGCGCCCAACACCATGCCTGGCTAATTTTTTATATTTTTAGTAGAGATGGGGTTTCACCATGTTAGCTAGGATGGTCTCGATCTCCCGATCTCGTGATCCACCAGCCTCGGCCTTCCAAAGTACTGGGATTACAGGTGTGAGCCACCGCTCCCGGCCATGTGCCCCACACTTTTAAACCCCATCAGATCTCGTGAGAACTCACTCACTACCACAAGAACAGCAAGGGAGAAATGAGCTTTCATGATCCAATCACCTCCCACCAGGAACCTCTTCCAATTCAACATGAGATTTGGTTGGGGACAGAAATCCAAACCATATTATTATACAACCCAAGGGAGTTGGAAGGATCCCCAATAATGACTGTAAATTTCTTCCAAACCCTGGGATATAGAGCACTCACAATCATGTTTCTGTTGAATTTTTTAAATGAAATATGAAATCTCTTGCAGAACATATTTTGTGATTGCAAATTTTTCCCATTACACAAATAAAAAAAGAACAGGATGACAAACATCCATAAACTATACATTTGAGGTAAATGGGCTAGCCTCATCTGGAATAAGACACTTGGTTTATTAAACAGCCTGTTGGCTAATTTTTGGTTTTTCCTTTGTTTCCTGTAGAGACCACAGTAGTTTAAAGTGACTTCAGGGACCCCTGTCCTTCACTGACTTACTGGATGGTCTCTACCATCAGTTACCCTCCAAAATATATAAAGCCAAAGCAGCTTATGTGGCACCTTGGAGGTCCACAAAAGAAGGGGTTCCAAAAGCATGCAGTCATTAAGCAACTTTTTATGCCCTAGTTCCAGGGCCTTGCATCCAGATATAAAACAAAGCTCAGGTACATAGAATGGCTGCCTGTCCTGTAAGGTTCTATGGATATAAACTCACTTGCAATTCATCCTGCTGAAAATGTCTCCTTTCCCGCCACCTACTTAGGTCCTGTTCTGCTTCTACTCTGCAACACTCTGAATTCTGGCTGTTGCTTTTGTTTTTTGTTTTGTTTTGTTTTTAGCATGTAAGGGTGTCTTTTCTCACTTTCAAGCTGAGCTATACATTCAAGGCTTTCTCTTATATTTCCAGCGTGTCTCTATGTCCAGAGCCTGAGGAGGGCTTCCCACCGTACCCTGGTTTGCTATGTTCAAGGTAGTCTCCACCAAAAGTTCATTCATTCAGTCAACATTTCTGAGAGCTTATGAGGTGTCAGGCACTACGCAGGGCACAGAGGGCACAAACATGAGTGAGATGGCATGCCTGTTCCTAGCAATCTCATAGTCTAGAGAGGAAACTCCAGCACAACGGGGCTAGTGCCTGGTATAGGTGTGAACAAAGGGAACAGCAGCAAAGAGAACCAAGCCACTGACTCTGATGGGAATGGTGGGGAGGGATTTGCACGTATGGCTGTGCGATGAGTGTGACCAATATCCATCCATGATCCGCATGGCAGGGAAATAAATTAACCTTGACATTTATGATCTGTACTTGTTTAAAAATATAATCGAGCATAACATCAGATGGGTTGTTAGACTGATCCTCAAGAAACCTGGGTCAGAGTTCTCACTCTGCCTCTATGTGAACTGAGCACGGCATTGCACATGGCCAGGCGTCACTTTCTCACAGTATTATTTAATCAGTTGAGTTAAATAATCCCTAAGATCCCAACTAGCTGAAAACTACATGATTATTATACTTAATGTCATCACTTTCCCACCCAAAAAGCATTTCTATAAGTTATTTAAGAAAATAAAGCTAAATATATCTGTTTGCCACGGTCAACACATGCAAATTTAGCCAAAGGAACAGACCTAGAAGAAGAAAGCAGACACAAACCAAAAGACTAAAGAGCGGAGAGATTGCTGGGGAGCCCTGGGCACAATGAGTGGATGAAGCAGGAACGCAGAGAAGTGTGGCTGTGGTTGTTTAGTTTTGACTGAATATCTGCAGGTCACCTTCTTGACCACAAACTTCTCAAAGTTCCAAATCACATCTTCTCACTGCAGCCCACTAAAGAGCACCAAGGGATCTTTCATAAATACAAATTGGTTATGATGAAGAAGAGAGTGTCCGTTCGCTGATGTTTGTTGAGTGCTGCTGATAACAGTCTTTCAACCTGCCCCGAGCTGCCTTCTCCTGACAAGCAATTTGTAAGACGTAATGAGCCCGGTTAATCCAACACACGCAGCCCCCTGGATCACATGTAACAGAAACTGCACGTCCTCCAGAGCACAGATCAGTATGAAGCGAGGTAAACTGTGATTCTAAATGCGTAGTTTCCTTTGCTCACCCAGCTCGGAATAGGTCGCTTGCAATCTTCAACTCAGCTCTGCCAAAGTTGGATTCCTGTCCCGCCACCGAGGCGGCAAAATGGGAAGCGCAGCGCCATCTGCTGTCCGTCGAGGGGAGAGTCGAGGCTGCTACGGAATTGCTACGGTGTATGGAAGGGGGTCCTTCCGGTGGGACCTGGACTCCTTTGCAAAGCAATTCTCTCCACTATAAAGGAATACATGAGATTTATTTGTTACAGTGCGAGCTTTCGTATTTATTTTGTTTTCTTTAGGTATGATAGTCTAGATAAAATTTCTTTGATTTCAGACAAAAATGAAATTAGAAATTCAAACCTAGTTATAATGTTTTAATGTATGCACTAAACTAGGGCATGCATTTCATAATAAAAGTATCTAACCCCAATTACAGAGCTTTCCTTCACATTCATTGTAAGTACCATAAAATTAATGGCGTACACACAAGCTGATATTTATACAAATATAAAGAGAACTATTGAAGAAGGAAAATGTATTCAACTATGTTATAAAAGAAACAGCACCTTTTGAGTTATTAAATATTTTTACAGTAACATTAGAATTTAAAGCAAATGGTTCAAAGGATGTCTTGCTTTCCTAAAAAAGCTGAAACTTTGCACCAAGTTGGCTGATTTGTTCTTAATTGCACTTGGTATGTAATTCTATTTTAATAGTCTATTTTCAGAGCTGACAGTGGGACACTGAGTTTCTTTCAACTATGAATGAAAACGTAATGTTTAGGACTAGATATTGGCTTTCTAATGTAGATGATTTGGAGCTTGTGTGTTATGACCAGAAAAAAAAAATGGTGGACAGAATGTCAAGGACAGCCACAAATATCTCGGAAGTCTCACCTACAGTACCGCCATCCCTAAGATTCTAGAAAGATACTATGATGGGGACCTGGACAGTGATACCCAGAGGCAGCTTCCTTTGGCCACTTTCTCCCGACATCTGATTCCAGTGGATATTTATTAATTAAGCTTCTATTACTATAATTTCAGGTAGGAGAGACCGAAACAGGTAAACTATGCTTATTTTTTATTACAAATATTCCCAAAAATATTTGGAAAGAAAAAGATGCTAGAAATAGCATCTTCAGGAAACAAAGTATAGGTTACGCTGTAAGAAACTGCTGCTGCTTGGCTATTTTTTTTTTTTTTTTACCAAAAGCAAAGGAATTTCATATAGTTCACCCTAATACTTAGGACACTCAAGGGTGCACTGACATGGATGTGATAGGGAATGACATCCCTTGTAAACGCAGTCTTTACATAGATGCTTCTTCACGTCTGAGGCTAGGTTTATGAGAAGTTAGTTTGGACAAATGTTTTAGTCTGTGACATGAGTTTTATAAAAGAGCACCATCCCTCAGCAGAATGCAGTAGCTCAAATGAGCTTTCAATAGGGGCTGTTGATTTGGTTGTTAAGACTTAGATTCTTATCCTTGTTCACCAGTTAAGTCTCTGTCCAGCTTTTCTTATTGTAGAGTAGATAAGAACTATATATAAAATTAATATTTTCATACATTGACTAGTAGACATGCTGCAATACAAAAAGCCCATTTTTAAGTCAGTTGCTTAAATGTAAGCAAGCACTTCCTCAAAGAAATAAAAAGTGGTCCTAAAAAGTGGTCAAGTTTTCAGGTCCAGTCACAGGGGTCTACATAATTCACAATTCAGCCACACTCATGTTATTTTACAAATCTGAATTATAAGCCAAGGAAGCAGAAAGACAAAACGAAGAAGAAAAGTGATCAAAAACTGATAGTATGGTACTTAGTGTTTATGATACCATGTTCAGTATTCTGGTAAACCATGATATTCTTAAGTATTGAAATACATACTTAGTTCTGAATGATGCTGATATTTTCATACTTCCAAAAAACATGAAATCTAAATCCTTTATGTATTCAAAAATCAATGACTCAATTTTTGATGTATGCAACAAAACAAATCTGTGTTCATTTTTTTACATCTACACAGATCTACACCCATAAAGGCCGCAATGAGCAAACAGATGTGCAACTGGAGCTTCCACTGAAAGCATAAGTCTCAGTCTGTGCATGATGAAACTAAGAAAAACAAAGACAAGCAGAAATGCTCTCTTCAAAACAAAATAGAACAGCTTACCATAATAAAAAGACTGTCACTCTAAAAAAACAAAGTACGAAATTTTCAAAAAGTACTCTTCAAAGAGATGGGGTGACTTGAAGATAGTCAAAAGAAAATGTCTGAGCCAGGAGTGGTGACGTGTACTTGTAGTCCCAGCTGCTTAGGAAGCTGAGGCAGGAAGATTGCTTGAATCCAGGAGTTGGAGACCATCTTGTGCAATATAGCAAGACCCCATATCTAAGAAAAAGCAGAAAGAAAACAAGACACTATTTTATAGATTTTATTGATGAATAATTTATACTATTATAATGTATGCTTATTTTCATAAATTTTTATATTACTTGAGGTTTTCTAGGTTTATACATTTTTATATTTGAAATGTATGAAATTTTGAGTCCCAATGAAATTTTTTAGGAATTCTAAAAATGTGTTTTAAATAATTTGAGGCCCAGCGCAATGGCTCCCACCTGTAATCCTAGCACTTTCGGAGGTTGAGGCGGGCGGATCACTTGAGGTCAGGAGTACTAGACCAGCCTGGCCAACACGGCAAAACCTTGTCTCTATTAAAAAATAAAAAATAATAATAATAATACAAAAATTAGCCAGGCATGGTTGTGGGCGCCTGTAATCCCAGCTACTCGGGAGGCTGAGGCAGGTGAATCACTTGAACCTGGGAGGCGGAGGTTACAGTGAGCCAAGATCACACCACTGCACTCCAGCCTGGGTGACAGAGCGTGACTCCATCTCAAAAATAAATAAATAAAATAATAGATAATGTGTGTATTTCACCATTCATTTCACTTAAAATCAGAATAAATAGTGAAGAAACAGAAATATCATTTTCTGCTGATGTATTGTAATGTCTAGTGGTGCTCAAACAGAGACGGCATGTGGAGGAAGAAGGAACAAAGCATTAGGTCAAGAGACCTAGATTTCAGGCTGAATTAGGCCCTACAGAGGCTGTAAACAGTGAATGGTGATCCCTCACCATTATGAAAATAAAAATACAAATGACATTATACCATAAACTAAGTCCAAAAGAGTCCTTATTTTTCCCATAATGAACAGTAAATATTTTTGTTAAATATTTTATTTTTCCCCCCTAGAATTATTCTGGTGCTCCTGATTTGTTAGTTGCCTGAGAATAAGACATGCTCCATCAGACTCCAAAAAGTTCAGTCCTCTCCAGCCTGTTCTTCTGGTCAGCTCTGCCCATCGGTCATTAACCTCTCTAGGCCTCTTTCTCCAGCAACACAATGAAGGGTTTTGATCAGGTGGCATCTGGGCTTCCACCCAGCTCGGAAGAATAACTCCCTGCTCCGGTCACTGCAGAGCCAGCCCTAGGCCGTGTTTCCTGAACCTTTGAAATCCTGTCACCTCCCTTTTTAAGAGCATGCTGTTGAGCTAACTCATGGGGCTGTGTGAATGAATGATAGCCTTAACCTTGCCGGGTGTGTCTTTATTTTAATATTACAAACCATGAGACTCTAGTTAAGGGAATTTCAGACATTTTTAAGAATGATTTTTGTTTTTTTTCCAGGGGTGGTAAGTGTGGTGTTTCCTGAGAGCAGAGGCTTTGGAGCATGACTGATAAGGGTTTAAAGGCTAGTTCTACTGAATGGGTGAAGATGCTGATTTGGTAAGGGCATGGAAAAATAGGCACTCTCAAGTACACCTCTGTGGAAAGGAGTTTGGGTTATAGCTTTCAAAATTTCCTGCTTATCTACTGTCAGGGCAATTCCACGTGAGGAATTTTTCCTGAAAATATACTCAAATAAAGGCAAAATATGAGTTCACTGCTATAAAGAACTATCTGCGACTGGGTAATTTATGAAGAAGAGAGGTTTCATTGACTCACTCACAGTTCCACAGGCTGTACAGGAAGCATCACTAGGAGGCCTCAGGAAACTTACAATCATGGCAGAAGGTGAAGGGGAAGCAAGCACATCTTACCATGGCAGAGCAGGAGAGAGAAAGAGAGCAAAGGGGGAAGTGCCACACACCTTCAAACAACCAGATCTCATGAGAACTCACTCACTATCACAAGAGCAGCAAGGGGGAAGTCCACCTCCATGATCCAATTACCTCCCACCATGCCCTCCCCTGACATGTGGGGATTACAATTCAATATGAGATTTGAGTGGGGACACAGAGCCATACCATATCAGGGTAGAAGAACATGGATGGGTGCCAAGGACTCTAAGGCACAGATTGTGCTGGTCAGTGACCCACTGCTCCTCAGCACACAGCCACTCTTCTAGACTATGCTTGTACTCCTAGGGCTGGGAGTGTGCAGACCACATTTTTCAGGCTCCCTTGTCAGCTGCTTCCTGTTTGGTTCTCCCAATAACAGACTCTAGTGGTCTTTTCTTGGTCCAAGAAGAGACAAACATTCTGCTTCTGGCCCTGGCAGTGTGGTAGTTGCTGGGGGAGGCTGGCAGGAACTGTAGTGGCAACAGGATTCCGACCCCCCAGCATGATAGGCAGCATCTTTTCAGCTATTTCAGTTCTAATCTAGGTGCACAACTCTGGCAGAGCCAGAACCAACTGGCTCAACATTAGCTCCTACAGTGCCACCTCTACCCTGGGGGTATTAGCAGCTCCTGATCTCAGATTATCACACCATCTTCCTTTTTTTCCCAGGGCCCCTAAACCTTTTTCCTTTTGCTCTCCCAACACTTCTAAGACCATTCTAATCGGTTACCTATATTGAATTTTTCTCTGTTTGAAATACTAAGCAAATTCTGTTTTTCAGAATGAACTTCAAATGATACAAAGATCATTCATTCCAGTATTGTATTTAATTTAAAAAATGATTTTAGAACAATGTGTCACTCAGTAAGGAACTGGTTAAATAAATTATAGCACAAACAAACACAAGAATACTATACAGTTGTCAAAAAGACTGATGCAGTTCTGTATGTACCAATATGAATCATCTTCAAGTTGTTATAGTTAAAAAAAAATAGGTACAGAATACCACATGTCAGATGCTACCACTTGTGTTGATCTCTCTTTCGGTAGAATTTTTAAGTTCACAGGCTCTCTACACTGGCCAACTGCCATGATTTAATTGGCTCCATGGCCACACTGTGGCCGAAAAAACCTTTCTCATCTTCTTTCTACCATTTCCTCTGTTTACCTTCTTTCCCAAAAAATATTAAGTTTTTGTCATGATCTATGGCTGATAAGATTCATGTAAATCTAAAATGTAATACAATTAGATTCTCAGATCATTTCAAAATCCAGTCAGAGATTAGGAGTCCACATTGTAAACTGCTACTTGAGCTTGTTTGATCTGCAGATTTATTTGTGTTTTTTAAATTCTGTGGGTGGGGACTGATTCAGAGTTCTTATGTGTGCACGACCTATGAGACTAGAAAACTGTAACACATGGAGAACTCTTTTTAAAAGAGATCTAGGGTAAGACCGAGCACCCCATCATGCCTGAGAAATAGCCAGCCCTCTTCCTGGTCTATGAGGAAGACTGTGACTGAACAAAATAACATGAGATTGGGGGAGAGAGATTGTGGAGCCGTAATTTTATGAAGATGCCAATCCACTTTTTGCACTTTATCTGTTGAAAAAAAAACAGAAGATTGAATAGCCAGGTGTGCTTTCACTTTTGTGGGGAAGAAGACAGTATTAATGAGAGGAAGAAGTTAAACTTCTCTGAGAAATAGAGGGTTTTACTTGACAGGGAAGGGAAACTCACAATCAAATTTTGGGTATTTTGTATTGCTGGCAGATTGTCCAAAGAGCTAGAGACAGGAGAAATGTGTACATTCTCCGAGGTAAAGGAGTTGTGTAGCCTTTGGGTTTACTTACTTAATGTTTGTCCTTGACTCATTTCAGCATTTCTTGGAGAAAAATGAACGAGGAATTTAAAAAGGCAGTCAGGGGCTCTACTGCATTTTAAATCCTAAGAAGTGTCTAGGATTTTTGAAGTGACCCCATAAAGATCCAAACAATTTATCAGTCTGGATTTGGTCAGAAAACAGTTACTACAAGTATTAAGAAGTAAGGGGTTTAACACAGGAATTAAAGACTGCAGCTAAAGAAGGAAAACAGTCCCTAACTTTCTTAAAACATTATGAAATTTATGCATGGGCCTTTTTTTTTTTAGCTCATCAGCTATCGTTATTGTTACTGTATCTTATGTGTGGCCCAAGACAATTCTTCTTCCAGTGTAGTTCATGAAAGCCAAAAGACTGGACAACCCTGCTAGGCCCTAAACTAAAGCAGTGAATAGGGAGAAGCAGCCAAAGTTCACAGGAAAACCAGGAAACTTCCAGGTTGCACCTGAGTATCACAGCTACCACGCGGGAGCGCTGGAGAAACCTGCAAAGCCATCGCAACTGGTTGCCATGACTTCCTGTGAATAATGGCTTTTGCTTCACTGCTGTCTTCCAAATCTCAATGCAAGTTTCTCTCTTGCCCAGCTAAGAACCATACAGGGAAGGGGATTCCAGGGAAATGTAGTTCCAGCTTTACACGATGCCAGGCGGGCAATTGACAGTCTAGTACACACAACTTCACTATTATTCCTTCACTAAAACCTTTAGCAGCCTGGGTCCAGTGGCTCCTGCCTGTAATCCCAGCACTTTGGGAGGCCGAGGAGGGAGGATTGCTTGAGCTCAGAAGTTCGAGACCAGCTGGGCAACATGGCTAAACCCCATCTCTACCAAAAAAAAAAAAAAAAAAAAAAAAAAAAAGAGCTGGGCATGGTGATGCACACCTGTGGTCCCAGCTACTTGGGAAGCTGAGGCAGGAGGATCACTTGAGCCCAGGTGGTCAAGGCTGCCCAATCGTGACCATGCCACTGCACTCCAGCCTGAGTGACAGAGTGAAATCCTGCCTAAAAACACAAACAAACAAACAAAAACCTTTAGCATTTGACATGTTGGCCACTTCTTTCTTTTCAGAATACTTTTTTTCCCTTGGATTCTGAAATGCCACTTTCTCTTGGATCACCTTTTACCTGGTTTTTCTTTCTGTCAGCTTTGATGCTTCCTGTTGCTCTCCCAGAGACAGTCCTGGGACCTCCTTGCTGACCTCATTGGGTCTCATGACTTTGAGTAGGTCTATGTTCTGATGACTGCCACATATAGATCCCCAGCTCAGATTCGGCCGCAAAACTCTTGACTCCTGTATTCAAGCGCCCTCTTGACTTCTCTGCTGTCATCTCTAATAGCCAAACCAAACTCTAATCCCCCCACACACAAAAAATTTATCACTCGGTCTTCCCCATCTCAAGAAATAGCAACTTTCTTTTTTCAGTTGCTCGGGTCAACAAAATCATCCTTGATTTTTCTCTTTCTCTCATCCCACATCCAATCCATCACCAAATCCTGTCAGCTCTATGCTCAAAATATATTAAGAATCTGACCACTTCTCATTACCTCTGCCTCTGTAGCCCTTTGCAAACTCCTGCCTGCATTTCTGCAGTGGTCTTCCAACCCACCCCACCTCCAAGTCTATTTCCAATACAGGAGGCAAAGGGATTCACTTAAAACATAAGTTAAATCACATCACTCCTCTGCCCAAAAGTCAACAATGATTCTCCATGTCAGTTAAGACTAAAGTCACAGTTTACAATGTCACACTATCAGAAAGGCATTTCACGACTACCTTACATAACACAGCAGCCCCATCAACACTCTCCCGGGACCTTGCTTTATCTTTCTCCGTAGTGTATATTACCATCTGGGCCATTGTGTACTTGCTTATTTAGTATTTTATATCCCTGCTATGGACAGAATTATGACCCACCCCCAAATTCATATCTTGATATCCTAACCCCTAATGTGATGGTATTTGGAGATGGGGCCTTTGGGAGGTAATTAGGTTTAGATGAGGTCATGAGAGTAAAGCCCTCATGAAGAGATTAGTGCTCTTACAAGAAGAGGCATCAGTAACATTCTCTCCCTCTCTCTCTCTCTCTCCACCCCCCCCTTTCTTCCTATCCCCACACATTAAGAAGGCATTCACCTGCAAGCCAGGAAGAGAAACTTCACCAGGAAAGGAATCAGCCCGCACCCTAATCTTGGACTTCTAAGCCTCCAGAATTGTGAGAAAATAAATTTCTGTTGTTTAAGCTACCCAGGCTGTGATATTTTGTTAGAGCAGCTCAACTGCCTTGGTTCAGATTTGGAAAATCCCACTGTTTCCAACGAGGTTATAAGATACATAAAGAACAAGATTTTCTTTTTGTTCACTGCTGTATTTCCAGCCGCTACTTGCCACTCAAAATATAGTATATCCACAATGAATAAATGACTGAATGAATGAGTTGCCCAATATCATGGCTAGAATGTGGCATAGCCTGAGCTAGCTCAGATGCTAGCTATAACTACACAGTGAAGTAGGGATAAGTCTTAACCTGAGCCTTAATTGTTTAAGATTAAACAACTGTGTGAACCTGATTTGCAAATAGCAATATAAGCAACCCATCTTCAATATTCTAGTACATTCATAAAATGCAGATACAAATTCTGCCCCTCCAGGTTTCTCCTAGGTGAAAGGAATGATCATTCACTTAAGAAAATCTTATAGCACATCTGTCTTGACATAATCTTCACCTGGTAAACAGCATTTGGGAATTCAGAAAACACAGCATTAAATTCTGCTCCCCATCCAAACCACAGAAGTGTGTTTATTTCTTGAAGGCTATTGCAGA
This sequence comes from Homo sapiens, assembly GCF_000001405.40. NCBI lineage: Eukaryota > Metazoa > Chordata > Mammalia > Primates > Hominidae > Homo > Homo sapiens. The sequence goes on from NC_000012.12 coordinate 42,033,098, forward strand.
ACTAACTCCCCAGTATAAGGGCCAACCAGCACTCCTGAGGTCTTGACTTTAAAACCAAGGCAGTGCTTTTTTAATTCCCCAAGAGTGAGAGCATGTTGGTAAAGAAACATAACTCACAATGTGAATTAGCTTCTGATAGTAATTCATCTGGTTCCCCTAAAACAGAAAGCTCAAAACCATTCAGACATGTTTCCTTGAGACTGCTGAAATCAGATTCTTTTAAAAGCGGTAAGTAGTAACCATCCCTGAAAATCAAGGCCAAATGGGCCAGAAATGAGAAGCAGTTTGTAAATTCTGAGTTTTGGCCCACTGGAGCCAATTACTCTAACAGGGACAACCTTGGTGTCTTTATTTGAATGTTTGAGATAGCCTGTTTACTGCAAGGTAAGTGATTGATGTGTGCTCTCAGTGTAATTGAGGAGAAACCTCTCGGATCACAAATTCAACCAGTAATTACTTTAGGATTCCTCTGAGAAAGTGTCTACATAATTTCCTTTGTATGTGTTTTCCAAAAGGACTTATGTCTCCTATCCAGTGTTCTCTAAACCACAAATGTACTCCATTGATTTTCTCAGGCTACAGTGTGTTGATTTTCAGCCCATAGTGTATAAGGTGAAAGGAAACAATAACTGAATATAGAAAATATTGATCTGCAACCATTGATTCAAGGCCCCGGGGTGTCAAAAGATTAGTTACTTTTAAGAGAAGTCCTGAAGGTGACTTTCAACTACTTTTTATTGACCAACACAGACCAGATAAACCCTTCTATTCAAAGCCATGGGCTCTTCTCCAAGAGCCATAATGAAAAACCATTTTACTCCCTTGCTTGAGATCCAGGTAAGACAACACAGTTTCTAAGTACATATAAATGATGTACTGTTACCAAATGATTCATGGTATTCTAATTTAACTATAATAACAACTAGTACATTTATTGTTTACTATGTCTCAGGAATTGTTCCAAGTGATTGACATATATTAACTTATGTAATCATCACAACACCCCCTCTGAGGTAGGTACCAATATTATCCCCATTTTAAAGAAGAGGAAACTGAGGCATAGAAAGAGTAAGTTACTTGTCCAAGGTCAAACAGCTAGTAAGTGTCAGGGCCAAGCTTTGAACTCAAATAGCTTGGCTCTAGAAATTATACTCTTAACCACTGCATGAAGATAGCACTCAAATGTTAAGGGAAACCTGAGAAACTTCACTGAACAAAGTCGCAAATGAAAATTATTGAAATATTGGCCATTATTCTGCATCTGCAGAAGGTGAAGAAGGAAAAGCAATATTTTGAATTCTAAGTACTTTTCTGGTTTTTTGTTGAAAAAAATAATTTAGAATAAAACTAAATTAATGTATCATCCCATAGCTGACTAAAATACTCTAGGGAGATTTCCTATCATCATTTATACACTTTTAATCCTGTAGACTATAATCAATACACATCAAAACCACAGTGAGATACCACTTCACACCCATTAGAATGACCATCAGAAAAAAAAAAAAAAAACAGAAAGTGCCCATCATAGTGGTGTACCTATAGTCCCAGCTACTCAGGGGGCTGAGGTGGGAGGATTCCTTGAGCTCAGGAGCTGCAGTTCAGCCTGGGCAATGCAGCAAAACCAGACCTCTGAAAAATATTTATAAAAAATTAACAAAACAGAAAGTAACAAGTGTTAGTAAAGATGTGGAAAAATTGGAACACTTGTGCATTGTTCGTGGGGAACATAAAATAGTGCAGCAGCTATGGAGAGCATTATGGAGATTCCTCAAAAAAGTAAATATAGAATTATCATATCATCCAGCAATTCCACTTCTGGGTATAAAACCAAAAGAATTGAAAGCGGGTATTCTAACAGATATTTGTGCATCTATGTTCATAGCAGCCAAAAGGTGGAAACAACCCAATGTCCATCAACAAATAAATTTATAAACAAAATGTCATATATACATATAATAGAAATTTTATTCAGCCTTAAAAAGGAAGGAAATTCTGACACATGCTACAATACAGATGAACCTTGAAGACATTATACTAAGTGAAATAAGCCATCACAAAAGAACAAATACTATATGACTGCATTTAAATGAGCATCTTAGAGTGCTCAAATTCATAGAGATAGAAAGTAGAATGGTGGTTTCCAGGGGCTGGGCAAAGTGGGAATAAGGAGTTTTTAATGGGTACAGAGTTTCCACTTGAGAAGATGAAAAAACTTTGGAGATGGATGGTGCTGATGGTTGCACAACAATGTGAATGTACTTAATGCCACAGAAATGTACTCTTAATGGTTAAAATGATAAGTTTTATGTTATGTATATTTTATAATAAAAATACTATATTTTTTCATGAGTACCTGTGTGCATATATATGTGTATAGATAGTTACTGTCTTTTTAATACTAATCAAAGCTGTAAACACTATTCTGTATCTTTTTTCTTCTTATAACAACATATCTTAGGGATAATTCCATATTAGTACATTCTTTTAAATGGCTTCCTGATATTCTATGATATGGGATACCATAATTTAAGCCACCTGAGAACAATGATTATTTAATTGTCCACAGTCTCATTACAATAAACAATGCTGCAAAAACAACTACAACAACAAAAATTTTCGAGAATCAAAAGCACATAATAGTTCTTGCATTAGGATAGATGAGGTAATGTGATGCTAAAAAGCAACCCCCAAACCTTCTATTAAATAGGAAAAAAACTCTCAAATCCTCTTACCACAAGAGTCTATTTCTTACTCATGCTACATGTCCTGCAGGAGTCAGCAAGGGCCTCTGCTCCACACGGTTCCACCATCTTCTGACTGTATCATCGAGATGTAGCTTCCCTCCCTGATGATTGGGCTTTCCACTGTCTTGTTCCAGGAGACTCATCTCATTATCCAAAACTAATATTTGCTCTTTGATGAGTATTATGACTACCTCTTCCACACTTCAATCACACAAACAGAAAAATTTTCTCACTATAGGTAAAGCAAAGTTCTACAAATTATTTATGGAATTCTCTCTGTAACGTTCCAGTGATAATTTTCACTCAAAAAATATTTATATCATTCCTACTACATACTAAGTGCTGTCACATGGGAGGTATTCAGTAAATATTTGCTAAGTGAAAAACAAACAATCCCTACTTGTCTAGTAATTGCTGCTCTTTCTTCCAGAGCAATCAAACCACTAGAAATAGGAAGAGTAAATAAGAAATTACTTCCAATTAAATACTTAGAAATTAACTTAACCAAAGAAGTGAAAGATCTCTGTAATTAAAACTGTAAGACACTGCTGAAAGAAATTGAAGAAGACACACACAAAAAATGGAAAGATATTCCATGTTCATGGATCGGAAGAATCAATATTGTTAAAATGTCCATACTATCCAAAGACATCTACAGATTCAATGCAATCCCTATCAAAATACCAATCACATTCTTCATAGAAATAGAAAAACAATCCAAAAATGTATATGAAACCACAAAGGACCCAGAATAGCCAAAGCTATCCTAAGCAAAAAGAACAAAACTGGAGGAATCACATTACCTGACTTCAAATTATACTGCAGAGCAATAGTAACTAAAACAGCATGGTACTGGCATAAAAACAAACACATAGACCAATAAACAGAATAGAGAACCCAGAAACAAATCCATACATCTACAGTGAACTCATTTTCAACAAAGATGCCAAGAACATACACTGGAGAAAGGACAGTCTCTTCAGTAAATGGTGCTGGGAAAATTGGATATCCATATGCAGAAGAATGAAACTAGACCCCTATCTTTCATCATATACAAAAATCAAAATGGATTAAAGACTTAAATCTAAGTTCTCAAATTGTAAAAGTACTAAAAGAAAACATTGAGGAAACTCTCCGGGACGTTGGACTGGGCAAAGATTTCTTGCATAATACCCCCAAAGCACAGACAACCAAAGCAAAAATGGACAAATGGGATCACATCAAGTTAAAAAATCTTCACAGCAAAGGATACAATCAACAAAGTGAGCAGACAACCCACAGAATGGGAGAAAATATTCCCATCTGACAAGGGAGTGATAAGCAGAATATATAAGGAGCTCAAGCAACTCTATAGGAAAAAATCTATTAATCCAAATAAAAATGGGCAAAAGATCTGAATAGCCATTTCTCAAAAGAAGACATACAAATGGCAAATAAGTATATGAAAAGGTGTTCAACATAATTGATCATCAGAGAAATGCAAATCAAAACTACAATAAGATATCACCTCATCCCAGTTAAAATGGCTTATATCCAAAAGACAGGCAATAACAAATGCTGGCAAGGATGTGGAGAAAAGGGAACCCTCGTACACTGTCAATAGGAATGTAAATTAGTACAACCACTGTGGAGAACACTTTGGAGGTTCCTCAAAAAACTAAAAATAGAGCTACCATATGATCCAGTGATCCCACTGCTAGGCATATACTCAACGGAAAGGAAATTAGTATATCAAAGAGATATCTGCACTACCATATATATTGCAGCACTGTTCACAATAGCCAAGATTTGGAAGCAACCTAAGAGTCTATCAACAGATGAATGGATAAGGAAAATGTGGTGCATATATAAAATGGAGTGCTATGCAGCCATAAGGAAGAATGAGATTCTGTCATTTGCAACAACATGAATGGAACTGGAGGTCATTAAGTTAAGTAAAATAAGCCAGGGACAGAAAGACAAACTTTACTTGTTCTTACTTGTTTGTGGGAGTGAAAAATCCAAACAGTTGAAATCATGGAGATAGAGAGTAGAATGATGGTTACCAAAGGTGGCAAGGGCAGGGAGCAGGGAAGTGGGGATGATTAATGGGTACAAAAAATAGTTAGAATGAATAAGACTTAGCATTTGCTGACACAACAAGGTGGCCATTGTCAATAACAATTCAATTGTACATTTTTAATTAACTAAAGTAGTACATTTGGATTGTCTGTGACACAAAGAATAAATGCTTGAGGTGACAACCCATTTACCCTGATGTGATTATTACACATTATATGCCTGTATCAAAATATCTCATGTACCTCATAAATATATACATCTACTATGTACCCACAAAAAATTAAAAATTTTAAAATTAAAAAAAAAGAAATGACTTCTGGCTTTCTTCTCACCTAGTCACTTGGCCAGACCCCAAACGAGTTTAACTTCCTCTTTGAGAGTAAACCATCACTGTCGGGAGGAGAACCAGGAATCTAACTGAGCCCGAAACTACAACTAAGTCATAATCACTGCCCAGTTCAAAATTCTCATTGTTTCAAAGTCAAACCAGTGTTTAAGGTTGGCACTTACACATTTCAGCTTAGAGCTTCCATTTGCATTTTGCACAAATATTATGCATAGGTGAGAGAAAAGAATATGATACAGGCTAATCCAATAGCTAATTAGCAACACCTGCACCAAAGCAATATTAGCATCTTGCTATTAGGTTACTGTTTGCATTACAGGATAAGTGATTATACCTGTCAAACTATGACAGAACTTGCTTCATTTTTCAGTTCATGTATAAATTTAAATGCCATTTTTAATAGCCCCCCCAAAAATTTAGATGTGACATTTTACTATTTTTGAATTTCAGTAAAATGACAGAATTTCAATTCAATTCCTAAAAAATTAGAAAGTCATATTTACATAAATAAACATATCCTTTTAATTATTTCTATCAGGGTATCTCCTTTACTCTATCTACCTGTTCTCCCTGAGGCTCCAACAAGTAGATACAAACTCTAAAGGTAGTAACACATGCTAATGCTCATAATTTTATCCCTATGCTTAACAGAACACTCAGTTCGTGCAGGTGCTCTATACATATTTGTTGTATTAATTAAATTCAATTTCTGCCTCTATGTTGATGACTCCCAAGCCTCCAGTTCCAACCACTTTCCAACCTCCAGGGTCTACTCACTTAACAAAATCTCTCTCTTTGAATATTTTACTATTCCACAGACACTACTGTAATCCCCCAATGGGTTCATTTTGCCAGCTGCCCAGAAAAGCCAATGCACTGAGAATAGCAGGGTTTTGCAGCAAAGAAAGAGTTTAATAATCACAGAGCCAAGGAGAAGGATGGGGCTTCCTACTCAAATCAGACTGCCTAAGAATTCAGAGGCTAAGGTTTTTATGGATAATTTGGCAGGCAGGGGTTCAGAGATGGGTGCTGCCGATTGGCTGGGAATGATATCATAGGAAGGTGGAAAACAGTCCTCACGCACTCAGTCAGCCTCTGGGTGGAGGCACAAGGCCAATTGATTCATGAGTCACAGGTCCTGGTGGAGTCAGTCGGTTGCCAGAATGCAAAAGTCTGAAAAACACCTCAAAAGACCAATCTCGGGTTCCGCAACAGTGATGTTATTTATAGGAGCAATTGGGAAATTCACAAATCTTGTCACCTCTGGCCACATGACCCCTGAGCTATAAGGGATTCTTCAAAACTACAACTACATTATAGCAGAATTCAGGCCCCTCCCATAATCTTGTGGCCTTTCATTAGTCTTAGAAAGGCAGCTTCAGACCCCAAGCAAGGAGGGGGTCTGTTTTAGAGAGGGAATATTATCATCCCTGCTTCAAAGTTAAACTACAAACTAATTTCCTCCCATGGTTAGCTTGGCCTACACCCCAGAATGAGCAAGGAGAACCAGCCTGTGAGGGCAGAAGCAAGATAGAGTCAGTCATGCTAGACTTCTCCCACTGTCATAATCTCTGCAAAGGCAGTTTCACTACCTGCTCTATTATGATCAACATTCATATTATTTTCAACATTGATAGTCACTCAGATCAAGATCAAGAATTCACAGTATTCCTTGTCCACACATGAGAAAATTCTTTCTCCAGTCTTGGAAGGAGTGTCATGTTGTGAAATTGATTTTGGAGCAGAAGTCCTAACCTGGGAGCAGAGGAGGGTTCTTAGGGAATGTAGAAACCCCCTAAAATTCACACAAAATTTATGTTGTATGAATATTCTCTCTCCATCTCAGAAGTAGGGGTGGGGTTGCTGTAAGACCCAATGTGTCCTAAAAGGGAGAAGTCAGAATATGACTTTATAGCATGGGGCCTGCCATACCATCATTAAAATTTTGCGTCATTGTATTTGCCTTCAAATGTCTAAAAGGCTTTCTGACATGAAAAAAAAAATGGATCAGATTTGTTCTGTGAAGCTTCAGAGAACAGACCTAGCATGAGGAAGTTAGAGAAAAGCACACATTCACTCAAGAGAAGAAGAAATTCTGCCTCAGCTGTCAAAACCGGCATGAGCTGACTGGTGTGATAGGGAGTTACTTGTTGAATCGTGTTCAAATGAGGCTTGTCTGTGATCCTTTGGATGGGTGTCTCCAAAGACCTTTATCTGGCCGGGCGCGGTGGCTCACGCCTGTAATCCCAGCACTTTGGGAGGCCAAGGTGGGCGGATCACAAGGTCAGGAGATCGAGACCATCCTGGCTAACACGGTGAAACCCCATCTCTACTAAAAATACAAAAAATTAGCCGGGCCTGGTGGCGGGTGCCTGTAGTCCCAGCTACTTGGGAGGCTGAGGCAGGAGAATGGCGTGAACCCAGGAAGCGGAGCTGGCAGTGAGCCGAGATGGTGCCACTGCACTCCAGCCTGGGCGACAGAACAAGACTCCGTCTCAAAAAAAAAAAAAAAAAAAAGAGAGAGAGACCTTTATCTAGGGTTGACTAGGTGTGGTGGCAATGGGAAGATTAAAAGATGGATAAGAGGTAATTCCCTCAAAACCATCCTATTTTTGAAATGTTATTTCCCCTAAATACTAGCATTACAAGTCCTTATGTATTAAAAAAAAATCTTCAAAATATTTTGTATTCCATTTTTCAGTTAAAATAGCATTGATTTACTTAACATACTCAAACCCACACCTTGACTCTTTATGATTGAAAAGCTGTTCATTGTGCATACCACCGTGGGAACTAATCTAATGATCAAGGCTCCATGTTTTCTGTGAAATGGACTCAGATTTTGCCTCCAGCTGTACAATATAGAACCCTGTAGACAACATTTTTTAAACTACCGTTAAAGGTATAAGAACATTTTCCAGACTCTACAGAAAACTACTCTTTCAAACAATGGGAGTCATTTTTCTTCATAGCATCAAGCTGAAAAAGGTACTATAAGTCAAAGTCATTATACTCAGAGAGCACATATATGCATTTATTTCAACGTCCATCTAAGACTGAACTGTAGCAGGGCGACCTTCAATTTCTCACAGACAGATTTATTGTGAAAAGATCCAAAATGGCCTTTCTACTCAGTGCACATCTACTCTTCTATTGTGAGAATCTCATCTCTGATGCATACTTTCTCCAGGCTATGGATATTCTTTGCAATCTTCACCTGACTTTGATCACCAGTTTGATCATTCAGTCTCTATTGCAGAAAATATTCTTCAGTTTAAAAATATAGTCTTGGCCAGGCATGGTGGCTCACACCTGTCATCCCCACACTTTGGGAGGCTAAGGTGGGAGGATTGTTTGAGTCCAGAAGTTCAAGACCAGTCTGGGCAACATAGTGAGACCCCATCCCTACAAAAAAAATTTGAAATTAGCCAAGAGGGGTGGCTCACTCCTGCAGTCCCAACTACTTGGGGAGCTGAGGCAAAACAATCGCTTGACCCAGTAGTTGAAGGCTACATGCCCCTGCACCCCAGCCTGGGCAACAGAGCATTACCCTGTCTCTTAAAAATTAATTAATTAAAAATAATAATTTAAAAATTAAAATTAAATAAAAATATAGTCTGAAGATTATTCAAAGCAAGCCCATTTTATATATTTTTAATCCTTACAGACTTTTAAGGATATGACATTTTGAACTTACTAATTTTTGTGTTTTTTTAAATAATAAACTGATTTTTATAATATGCTCAGTAAAAACAATAGTTCTGTCAACCTTCTCTTTTATATTAGGGAATAAGGAGAGCTGAGGAGGGAAGAAAGAAAGAGAAACAATTTTCTTTTTTTTTTTTATTATACTTTAAGTTTTAGGGTACATGTGCACATTGTGCAGGTTAGTTACATATGTATACATGTGCCATGCTGGTGCACTGCACCCACTAACTCGTCATCTAGCATTAGGTATATCTCCCGATGCTATCCCTCCCCCCTCCCGCCACCCCACAACAGTCCCCAGAGTGTAATATTCCCCTTCCTGTGTCCATGTGATCTCATTGTTCAATTCCCACCTATGAGTGAGAATATGCGGTGTTTGGTTTTTTGTTCTTGCGATAGTTTACTGAGAATGATGATTTCCAATTTCAACCATGTCCCTACAAAGGACATGAACTCATCCTTTTTTATGGCTGCATAGTATTCCATGGTGTATATGTGCCACATTTTCTTAATCCAGTCTATCATTGTTGGACATTTGGGTTGGTTCCAAGTCTTTGCTATTGTGAATAATGCCACAATAAACATACATGTGCATGTGTCTTTATAGCAGCATGATTTATAGTCCTTTGGATATATACCCAGTAATGGGATGGCTGGGTCAAATGGTATTTCCAGTTCTAGATCCCTGAGGAATCGCCACACTGACTTCCACAATGGTTGAACTAGTTTACAGTCCCACCAACAGTGTCAAAGTGTTCCTATTTCTCCACATCCTCTCCAGCACCTGTTGTTTCCTGACTTTTTAATGATTGCCATTCTAACTGGTGTGAGATGGTATCTCATTGTGGTTTCGATTTGCATTTAAGAGAAACAATTTTCAATATTTCTCTTGGCTGGGGTGAGAACTTCCTAATGCATAGCTAAGTTCATTAAAAAAAAAATACAGTTTCCAAAATAAACAAGAAATCTACTTTTCAGAAATAGGCCAAAAATTGGCACAAAGTAAAATCAATTGGTCTTGGACATTTTTTTTGTTGTTGTTGTTTTTGTTTTTGTTTTTGTTTTTCCTCTTTCAGTTCCAAATCTTTTAATTAGGTTAAAAAAGGTAAAGAAAACATGAAGAACATGAATAATATAATAAAAGCAATTTAATTTACATATCCAACTACTCCTTTACCCTAAAAAATATATATCCATAACTACAACCTTAATAAATTTTAATAATATGTGATCACAATATAATAAACATGGAGATTAAAATAAAACATAAACCAACAATCTTTATTTCTTACAAGAAAAAAGGTATAATAAATTATTTTATAAATAACTTTTATATCCAAGAAAATATCAAAACTTTACCTGAATAGCTGGGAATAACAGAATAGCTGGGAAATAACAATAATGAGAGTATAGCATATGAGGTATTATAAAACATGTCATCACATTAAATGCTTTCATGATTGAATAAGCAAACAAACTTTTCTTATTGACAGTTTTCATATTGACAGTTATTCTTTTATTTTATTTTATTTTATTATTATTATACTTCAAGTTTTAGGGTACATGTGCACAATATGCAGCTTAGTTTTACATATGTATACATGTGCCATGCTGGTGTGCTGCACCCATTAACTCGTCATTTAGCATTAGGTATATCTCCTAATGCTATCCCTCCCCCACCCCGCCACCCCACAACAGTCCCCAGAATGTGATGTTTCCCTTCCTGTGTCCATGTGTTCTCATTGTTCAATTCCCACCTATGAGTGAGAACACGCGATGTCTGGTTATTTGTCCTTGCGATAGTTTACTGAGAATGATGATTTCCAATTTCATCCATGTCCCTACAAAGGACATGAACTCATCCTTTTTTATGGCTGCATAGTATTCCATGGTGTATATGTGCCACATTTTCTTAATCCAGTCTATCATTGTTGGACATTTGGGTTGGTCCCAAGTCTTTGCTATTGTGAATAGTGCCGCAATAAACATACGTGTGCATGTGTCTTTATAGCAGCATGATTTATAGTCCTTTGGGTATAAACCCAGTAATGGGATGGCTGGGTCAAATGGTATTTCTAATTCTAGATCCCTGAGGAATCGCCACACTGACTTCCACAATGGTTGAACTAGTTTACAGTCCCACCAACAGTGTCAAAGTGTTCCTATTTCTCCACATCCTCTCCAGCACCTGTTGTTTCCTGCCTTTTTAAAGATTGCCATTCTAACTGGTGTGAGATGGTATCTCATTGTGGTTTGGATTTGCATTTCTCTGATGGCCAGTGATGGTGAGCATTTTTTCATGTGTTTTTTGTCTGCGTAAAAGTCTTCTTTTGAGAAATGTCTGTTCATGTCCTTTGCCCACTTTTTGATGGGGTTGTTTGTTTTTTTCTTGTAAACTTGTTTGAGTTCATTGTAGATTCTGGATATTAGCCCTTTGTCAGATGAGTAGTTTGCAAAAATTTTCTCCCATTCTATAGGTTGCCTGTTCACTCTGATGGTAGTTTCTTTTGCTGTGCAGAAGCTCTTTAGTTGAATTAGATCCCATTTGTCAATTTTGGCTTTTGTTGCCATTGCTTTTGGTGTTTTAGACATGAAGTCCTTGCCCATGCCTCTGTCCTGAATGGTAATGTCTAGGTTTTCTTCTAGGGTTTTTATGGTTTTAGGTCTAACATTTAAGTCTTTAATCCATCTTGAATTAATTTTTGTATAAGGTGTAAGGAAGGGATCCAGTTTCAGCTTTCTACATATGGCAAGCCAGTTTTCCCAGCACCATTTATTAAATAGGGAATCCTTTCCCCATTGCTTGTTTTTGTCAGGTTTCTCAAAGATCAGATAGTGGTAGATACGCGGCATTATTTCTGAGGGCTCTGTTCTGTTCCATTGATCGATATCTCTGTTTTGGTACCAGTACCATGCTGTTTCGGTTACTGTAGCCTTGTAGGATAGTTTGAAGTCAGGTAGCATGATGCCTCCAGCTTTGTTCTTTTGGCTTAGGATTGACTTGGTGATGCGGGCTCTTTTTTGGTTCCATATGAACTTTAAAGTAGTTTTTTCCAATTCTGTGAAGAAAGTCATTGGTAGCTTGATGGGGATGGCATTGAATCTATAAATTACCTTGGGCAGTATGGCCATTTTCATGATATTGATTCTTCCTACCCATGAGCATGGAATGTTCTTCCATTTGTTTGTATCCTCTTTTATTTCATTGAGCAGTGGTTTGTAGTTGTCCTTGAAGAGGTCCTTCATGTCCCTTGTAAGTTGGATTCCTAGGTATTTTATTCTCTTTGAAGCAATTGTGAATGGGAGTTCTCTCATGATTTGGCTCTCTGTTTGTCAGTTATTGGTGTATAAGAATGCTTGTGATCTTTGTGCATTGATTTTGTATCCTGAGAATTTGCTGAAGTTGCTTATCACCTTGAGGAGATTGTGGGCTGAGACAATGGGGTTTTCTAGATATACAATCATGTAGTCTGCAAACAGGAACAATTTGACTTCCTCTTTTCCTAATTGAATACCCTTTATTTCCTTCTCCTGCCTGATTGCCCTGGCCAGAACTTCCAACACTATGTTGAATAGGAGTGGTGAGAGAGGGCATCCCTGTCTTGTACCAGGTTTCAAAGGGAATGCTTCCAGTTTTTGCCCATTCAGTATGATATTGGCTGTGGGTTCATCATAGATAGCTCTTATTATTTTGAGATACGTCCCATCAACACCTAATTTATTGAGAGTTTTTAGCATGAAGCGTTGCTGAATTTTATCAAAGGCCTTTTCTGCATCTATTGAGATAATCATGTGGTTTTTGTCTTTGGTTCTGTTTATATGCTGGATTACATTTATTGATTTGCATATATTGAACCAGCCTTGCATTCCAGGGATGAAGCCCACTTGACCATGGTGGATAAGCTTTTTGATGTGCTGCTGGATTCGGTTTGCCAGTATTTTATTGAGGATTTTTGCATCGATGTTCATCAAGGATATTGGTCTAAAATTCTCTTTTTTGGTTGTGTCTCTGCCAGACTTTGGTATCAGGATGATGCTAGCCTCATAAAATGAGTTAGGGAGGATTCCCTCTTTTTCTATTGATTGGAATAGTTTCAAAAGGAATGGTACCAGTTCCTCCATGTACCTCTGGTAGAATCTGGCTGTGAATCCATCTGGTCCTGGACTCTTTTTTGTTGGTAAGCTATTGATTATTGCCACAATTTCAGAGCCTGTTATTGGCCTATTCAGAGAGTCAACTTCTTCCTGGTTTAGTCATGGGAGGGTGTATGTGTCAAGGAATTTATCCATTTCTTCTAGATTTTCTAGTTTTTTTGCATAGAGGTGTTTGCAGTATTCTCTGATGGTAGTTTGTATTTCTGTGGGATCAGTGGTGATATCCCCTTTATCATTTTTTATTACGTCTACTTGATTCTTCTCTCTTTTCTTCTTTATTAGTCTTGCTAGCGGTCTATCAATTTTTCTAATCCTTTCAAAAAACCAGCTCCTGGATTCATTAATTTTTTGAAGGGTTTTTTGTGTCTCTACTTCCTTCAGTTCTGCTCTGATTTTAATTATTTCTTGCCTTCTGCTAGCTTTTGAATGTGTTTGCTCTTGCTTTTCTAGTTCTTTTAATTGTGATGTTAGGGTGTCAATTTTGGATCTTTCCTGCTTTCTCTTGTGGGCATTTAGTGGTATAAATTTCTCTCTACACACTGCTTTGAATGTGTCCCAGAGATTCTGGTATGTTGTGTCTTTGTTCTTGTTGGTTTCAAAGAACATCTTTATTTCTGCCTTCATTTCATTATGTACCCAGTAGTCATTCAGGAGCAGGTTGTTCAGTTTCCACATAGTTGAGCAGTTTTGAGTGAGTTTCTTAATCCTGAGTTCTAGTTTGTTTGCACTGTGGTCTGAGACACAGTTTGTTATAATTTCTGATCTTTTACATTTGCTGAGGAGAGCTTTACTTCCAACTATGTGGTCAATTTTGGAATAGGTGTGGTGTGGTGCTGAAAAAAAATGTATATTCTGTTGATTTGGGGTGGAGAGTTCTGTAGATGTCTATTAGGTCCGCTTGGTGCAGAGCTGAGTTCAATTCCTGGGTATCCTTGTTAACTTTCTGTCTCGTTGATCTTTCCAATGTTGACAGTGGGGTGTTAAAGTCTCCCATTATTATTGTGTGGGAGTCTAAGTCTCTTTGTGGGTCACTAAGGACTTGCTTTATGAATCTGGGTGCTCCTGTATTGGGTGCATATATATTTAGGATAGTTAGCTCTTCTTGTTGAATTGATCCCTTTACCATTATGTAATGGCCTTCTTTGTCTCTTTTGATCTTTGTTGGTTTAAAGTCTGTTTTATCAGAGACTAGGATTGCAACCCCTGCCTTTTTTTGTTTTCCATTTGCTTGGTAGATCTTCCTCCATCCTTTTATTTTGAGCCTATGTGTGTCTCTGCATGTGAGATGGGTTTCCTGAATACAGCACACTGATGGGTCTTGACTCTTTATCCAATTTGCCAGTCTGTGTCTTTTAATTGGAGCATTTAGTCCATTTACATTTAAAGTTAATATTGTTATGTTTGAATTTGAGCCTGTCATTATGATGTTAGCTGGTTATTTTGCTCGTTAGTTGATGCAGTTTCTTCCTAGCCTCAATGGTCTTTACAATTTGGCATGATTTTGCAGTGGCTGGTACCGGTTATTCCTTCCCATGTTTAGTGCTTCCTTCAGGAGCTCTTATAGGGCAGGCCTGGTGGTGACAAAATCTCTCAGCACTTGCTTGTCTGTAAAGTATTTTATTTCTCCTTCACTTAGAAGGTTAGTTTGGCTGGATATGAAATTCCAGGTTGAAAATTCTTTTCTTTAAGAATGTTGAATATTGGTCCCCATTCTCTTCTGGCTTGTAGAGTTTCTGCCGAGAGATCCGCTGTTAGTCTGATGGGCTTCCCTTTGTGGGTAACTCGACCTTTCTCTCTGGCTGCCCTTAACATTTTTTCCTTCATTTCAACTTTGGTGAATCTGACAATTCTGTGTCTTGGAGTTGCTCTTCTTGAGGAGTATCTTTGTGGCGTTCTCTGTATTTCCTGAATTTGAATGTTGGCCTGCCTTGCTAGATTGGGGAAGTTCTGCTGGATAATATCCTGCAGAGTGTTTTCCAACTTGGTTCCATTCTCCCTGTCACTTTCAGGTATACCAATCAGATGTAGATTTGGTCTTTTCACATAGTCCCATATTTCTTGGAGGCTTTGTTTCTTTTTATTCTTTTTTCTCTAAACTTCCCTTCTCGCTTCATTTCATTCATTTCATCTTCCATCACTGATATCCTTTCTTCCAGTTGATCGCATCGGCTCCTGAGGCTTTTGCATTCTTCACGTAGTTCTCGAGCCTTTGCTTTCAGCTCCATCAGCTCCTTTAAGCACTTCTCCGTATTGGTTATTCTAGTTATACATTTATCTAAATTTTTTTTCCAAGTTTTCAACTTCTTTGCATTTGGTTTGAATTTCCTCCTGTAGCTCGGAGTAGTTTGATCGTCTGAAGCCTTCTTCTCTCAACTCGTCAAAGTCATTCTCTGTCCAGCTTTGTTCCATTGCTGGTGAGAAGCTGCATTCCTTTGGAGGAGGAGAGGCGCTCTGCTTTTTAGAGTTTCCAGTTTTTCTGCTGTTTTTTCCCCATCTTTGTGGTTTTATCTACTTTTGGTCTTTGATGATGGTGACGTATAGAGGGGTTTTTGGTGTGGATGTCCTTTCTGTTTGTTAGTTTTCCTTCTACCAGACAGGACCCTCAGCTGCAGGTCTGTTGGAGTTTGCTAGAAGTCCACTCCAGACCCTGTTTGCCTGGGTACCAGCAGCGGTGGCTGCAGAACAGTGGATTTTCATGAACTGCAAATGCTGCTGTCTGATGGTTCCTCTGGAAGTTTTGTCTCAGAGGAGTACCTGGCCGTGTGAGGTGTCAGTCTGCCCCTACTGGGGGGTGCCTCCCAGTTAGGCTGCTCAGGGGTCAGGGGTCAGGGACCCACTTGAGGAGGCAGTCTGCCCATTCTCAGATCTCAAGCTGGGTGCTGGGAGAACCACTGTTCTCTTCAAGGCTGTCAGACAGGTACATTTAAGTCTGCAGAGGTTACTGCTGTCTTTTTGTTTGTCTGTGCCCTGCCCCCAGAGGTGGAGCCTACAGAGGCAGGCAGGCCTCCTTGAGCTGTGGTGGGCTCCACCCAGTTTGAGTTTCCAGCTGCTTTGTTTACCTAAGCAAGCCTGGGCAATGGCGGGTGCCCCTCCCCCAGCCTCACTGCTGCCTTGCAGTTTGATCTCAGACTGCTGTGCTAGCAATCAGCGAGACTCCGTGGGCGTAGGACCCTCTGAGCCATGTGGGGGATATAATCTCCTGGTGTGCCGTTTTTTAAGCCCGTAGGAAAAGCGCAGTATTGGGGTGGGAGTGACCCGATTTTCCAGGTGCCGTCTGTCACCTCTTTCTTTGACTAGGAAAGGGAACTCCCTGACCCCTTGCACTTCCTGAGTGAGGCAATGCCTCACCCTGCTTTGGCTCGCCCACGGTGCGCTGCACCACTGTCCTGTGCCCACTGTCTGGCACTCCCTATTGAGGTAAACCTGGTACCTCAGATGGAAATGCAGAAATCACCCGTCTTCTGCGTCACTCACGCTGGGAGCTGTAGACCGGAGCTGTTCCTATTCGGCCATCTTGGCTCCCTCATATTCAGGTCTTGGACATTTTACCCTGATGTGCTGACTCTATGAAATCTCCTTAATTCTATATAATATAAATCATCTAACAGTATTAGAACTAAATATAATTTGAAATTAATGATGTGAGCAATTTATTTCCATTATCATTTAATCAAGCCACTTTCATAATATAACTATTCACCTTGGCTTTCCAGAAACTAATGAAAGAAATAGCTTCTCAAATGGCAGGGGGGATGGACTTGGGCATCTGATCTTTTCCCAGTTGTCACTGACTACTTCTGTAACCTTGGACAAGTCACTTCACCTCTCTAGGCCCAGGTTCTCATGTGAAAATAGGTACAATATTACCTACATCACAGATTATGTTCATCTATATGGCAAATACTTATCAAAATCTCACTAGGAGCTGCTCACATAGATGTTAGAAATTCAATTAAGAACTAAGAACGAGATAGACATGGTCCCTATCCTCATGGAACTTACATTATAGTGGAACACAAGGATAAGAAAGCAGAAAAAGAAATAATTATATGTCATGATGGCTGCTATACAGGAAATACACAGGGGTAGAAACAGAGAGTAACAGATAGGGTCCTAATTATACAGAGTGATCAGTGTTACAGGAAAGATGACAACAAAATGAGATCACAGAAAAAGCACTTGACATATAAAAGGCATTCAGTAAACACTAGTTTTTATTATGTATTATTGCTTCAGAATAAGATATGGAGAAAATTCTGGAATAAAAATAGGTAGAATGTGAAATTTAAAGGAATGGCAGCCTAGATATTTTCAAAAATTCTCCTACAAGATACCTAGATAAATTGAATACTATATAACATCAATCCTTTCTCATGCATAGTTGAGTTCATTTAAAAAAAAAAAGTAAAGGAAAATCCCAAGGGCAAAGACTAACAAGCAAGCTGTAACCCACAGTTATAGACTGACACTGAAGGAGCAGTTGGCCTCAAAGCAATTGCCAATTTCCATTATCTAAAGTCTTGGATTTTAATGGCTACTTGGGGACAGGAAACAAGGCAGTGAACTTGCATAAGGTAGGGATTTGGAATTGAAGCCCCACATAAAGTGTTCACACCCATCTAAGTGCAGTGGCTCACACCTGCAATATCAGCACTTTGGAAAGCTGAGGCAGCACTGCTTGAGCCCAGGAACTTGAGACCAGCCAGGGCAACATAGTGAGGTCCCATCTCTACAAAAAAAAAACAAAAAACTTTTTTTTTAAATTAGCCAGGCATGGTGGGGTGTGGCTATAGTCCCAACTACTCATGAGACTGAGGCAAAAAGATTGCTTGAGACCAACAGGTTGAGGCAGCAGTGAGCCACTCCAGCCTGGGTGACAAAGGGAGACCCTGTCTCTAAAGTTAAAAATTAAAAATTAAATCCTCACATTCAGCTTAACAGAAGGCTGCAAAAAAGCTGTCTACCCAACAGTAGAAAGGAGAAACAAGATTTGTCAGTCTTGACCCAGACTCAATGTGCTTAAAAATAAAAATATCTCCTGAGATTTATAACTGCAGGCTTAACGTCATGCAGTTAAGATTAAAATTCTGTCTCTGGTTTTAAAAACTCCAAAACAAGAAATTAACAGATAAAGGTCGGACAAATATGATTTCACAATCCAAAATTACAAACCACATCAGCAAACAAGTCATCATGAGTAAAAATCAGCAGAAATAAGAAATTAGGGTCTCAAGGACTTCAGCTATTGGAAATACTGGATACAGATACAGAATACAAAATGAGAATTGTAAAAGAAGCATATAGTGACTAAAAGTGAAAATCCATAATAAAAGATTACACTGACGATGGGGTAGAACACACAAAATAAAGTTAGAAATAAAAACTAAACAAATAAAATATAGGGATAATGATCTACTATAAAAATATAATGGAGGCTGGGCATGGAGGCTCACACCTGTAATCCCAGCACTGAAAGGTCAAGAGATCAAGACCATCCTGGCCAACATGGTGAAACCCCATCTCTACTAAAAATACAAAAATTAGCTGAGTGTGGTGGCACGTGCCTGAGTGGGACTCCATCTCTACATATATATATATTTTTATATATATATATATATATATATATATATATATATATACACACACACACACACACACATACACACACATATGTATATATATACACATATGAATATATATATGAATTATCTGAAAAATGCCTGAAATTTACTCAAATATCCCAAAAGATCCGTAATTGAATGGAATTTATATATCACAAATTTTAGAAAGATTGGGGACTGAAAATACACTGTTGGAATAGTCTCTTCTTTAGTGAAGTAAAGAATTCTGTGCTTTTAATACATAACATAATGGGATGCCTGGAATCTTAGACTTTCATTAGAATTACCTTATTTAGAAATGAAGCAGCTATTCACTTTACAATTTGAACAGGATTAATGTTTGCAAAGAGCCCCTCTTAGAAAAGTAGCTTTGGCTACTTTTTGGTCTCACTCTATCGCCCAGGCTGGACTGCAATTGGTGCAATCACAGCTCACTGCATCCAGCCTCGTCCTGCCTGGGCTCAAGCGATCTTCCCACCTCAGCCTCCCGAGTAGCTGGGATTTATAGGTGTGAGACACCGTGCCTGGCCTGGACTAGATTGTTTTAATAACAAAAAGAGATCTGAAAATTTTGGAATCCGCCCAAGGTATTGTTAGGAGGTTGTAAAGTGAGATTTGGCATGTGATATAATTGGAATATTTGTCCCCACCAAAATCTCATGTTGAAATGTAATCTCCAGTGATGGAGGTGGGACCTGGTGGGAGACGTTTGCATCATGGGGTGCATCACTTATGGTTTGGTGCTGTCTTCCTGATGTGAGTGAGCTCTTGTGAGATCTGGTCATTTAAAAGTGCAGCACTTCCCCCCTCTCGCTCTCTCACTCTTGCTCTCTCTCTCCCTCTCTCTCTCTCTCTTTCACTCCTGCTCCCACCATGTGAGAGCCTGCTCCCTCTTTGCTTTCCACCATGACTGTAAGTTTCCTGAGGCCTCCCCAGAAGAAGATGCCAGCATTATGCTTCCTATACAGCCTGCAGAACAGTGAGCCAACTAGACCTCTTTTCTTATAAATTACTCAGTCTCAGGTATTTCTTTATAGCAATGCAAGAATGGACTCATACAGCATAGAATTATTAAAAGCAGTTTATACCCCAATTTATTCCACATCTCACTAATGCAGTTACATATATGTAGAAGGCAGAACAATACAGTATTCAGCTTTCAAGCCCCAAGATGCTTTTCAGACCTGCATTAGGAAAATTAGAAAAGCCAATTTTATTTATGGATAGAAGTTCATAATCTATCTAGAGAGATGGGCTATGCGAACATAAAAAGTTAATGCAAAATAATTCACATAACAACAAATGACTAAGTGCTGACTGCATGGCACAGACTATGAGATGAGAGAAGGAAAAGCCCTGTGAGCTACTGGTGAGGTTTCACGGCCAACACAGGACCTGCGCTGCACCTGGAGAGACGGGAATCATTTGTATTGATAAAGAGGTGTGCGGGGGATTTTGCAGGTAAAAGGAGTATCATGAACAAAGATGCAGAAATGAAAATCCAGGCATCATGTTCTACCTGACTGCTGTGGAATTCACATGAAGGAACAAAGGGACATATGTTTGGAGAAGGAAAAGGTCAGATTTCAGAAGCTGTGACATGTCAGCCAAAGGAATTAGGATTTCATTGGATAAGCAATAAAAAAAAATTAGAGGCTTTGTAAAAGTCTTTTGAGATGATTGGTAAAGGAAGACTCAGAGAAGGGAGCATTTAGAAAAGGAAAGAAAACATTTATTTTCCAAGACAGACACACTTCAGCAGAACTGGCTAGCCAAATATGAGTATTTACATTTAAAAGGTGCAAAATTACCCAGGTTTCCAAGTTAGCATTAGTCTGCACATGCAGGAAAGACAGTAGCTTTCTCACATGATTTTCATATTCACAAAGGTCATGATGTATCTTCAGACACCACCATGGCAACTGTCAGATATAAAATGGTTTATGAAAAACATTCAAGGTTTTACCATTATAGAGACCACACCCAGCCAGGGTGACCTTGTTAATTTTGATTTATGTCTGAGAGTTGCATGTTTTCTCTGACTGCCGTATGTGAAGTGCTTAATTATATTGAAAGCAGGGCGAAGTGTCATTTTTTGCTTCTATATGATCAAAGTAGAAATGGGGATCAATACATTTGACACTGGTATTTAGTTTGGGTTGTTGGGATGAGCAGAACCAGGAAGACCAGAAGGCTATGTAGATCTGAGTTGTATCTGTTTTCCAGCTTCACCACTAAGAAACTGAGGCAGAAGGGTCAACCCACCTGCTCAATAACATATTACACAATATAGTGAGGCCATGGTGCAGAATTGACATTACAGTTTTCAGCCCCAGCTGTCCAACCCTTCTGATTAGCTTGCTGAACGATTTTACTCCTCTTTCAATAGCTACCAGTGAATTAATTCAAGTGTGGGTGTGTTTTGGAGTTACTTTCAACAAGACAAATGCTATAGGCCTTACAAGCAGCACCTACAATTCAATTATTCTTAATTAGGTGGTGCTAATCTAAGAAAGAATCATCGTGCAAGTTCCTTGATGCCTCCCTGGATATCTCAGCATTATTGTCAGAGCATCTGCCTCCTTTATTGCTAATTCCAAAACATATGATTTACCTCACATTTTATTACATTTTGGGGTTTTCCCCCTTGAACCTGGAATGTGCAATTGGTGTGTTGTTAGGTTCTTAATCTGGCCTCAGAAGGAGCAATGCGAAGTTGCAAATATGCCTCTGTGGTATCATACTGATTCAGCCATTAAGAGATTCCCATTATTTCTGCTACCCGGCTCCATGTGTTTCTGTGATGATGGAAGGAAGCACTTTCTAAAATCTTGACTGTTTATTTGGTATTCACTACATGATGAGCTTTCTGTTGTTCAGTACTCATTAAGCACTTAAAAAGTATAATACAGTGCTATAATATAATTTATAAGTAGAGAATTGTTTCCATATATGTTACCCAAAGATGCAAAATTCAAACCTTCTCAGGTCTTTATTTGTGTCACACAATGATTTTTTTTTAACAGAATGTTGGCTGAGACTTTTTCTTTTATCCTGATACTGCTGTTAATTTAGTCCTGCTTTTTACTGGTCTAACATACACAGGACCATCTGCCAAAATATACACATGGCTCCATAACTAGGCAATTACAATTGTGTCTATGTATAAAAACTGCATTCAGGCAGCAAGTGTTGGTGGTAGAGGTAGGAGGGGAAAAGAGAAGGATAAATTGCAGATGTTTTAGACTTGGAAGTAAAAAGGCTAACAAAATGTTCCAAATAAAATATTTTTGTTGTTTTCCTTTTGTAAAATAAGTTTGTCTTTCGAAATTATAACAAACATGGTTACATCACAGTAATAGCTCAGTAAGATTCAGAATACTTCAAAGATGGTTTTGCTCATCAAATGAACTCAACAACTTAATTTTTAAATGCAATTGTAAATTAATATAAGTTAAAATACAAATAAAACTTTCCCTTTAAAAGTAATTTTTGAGAACAAAACCTGGCCTTGGAATCTTTGCCTTTTCCTTCCTCTGCTGGAAGTGTTCATCTAAGCTGGTTTTATGGCATCTTATTTAAAAAGCATCATTGGGCTGGGTGTAGTGACACATGCCAGTCATCCAAGCACTTTGGGAAGTCTAAGCAGAAGGATCACTTGAGCCCAGGAGCTTCAGATCAGCCTGGGCAACATAGTCTAAAGAAAATAAAATTTTAAAAAGTAATTAAAAAGCATCATATTATCTAATAGGGTGGTAATGCAGGAGGGACCCTCTACTCCAATTGGATTTCAAAATGAGAAGCTGAAGCTGTATGGATCACTATATCCTTTTTTTAAAATTGTGTTAAAATACACATACCATAAAATTTGCCATCTTAACCAATTTTAAGTGTACAGTTCAACTGTGTTAAATATATTCACATTGTCATGCTATCAATCTCAAGAACTTTTTTTCTTTTGCCAAACTGAAACTCTATACCCATTAAACAACCCTCATTCCCATCCTCCCAGCCCCTGAAACTATACTCTTTTAAGAAAACCCTGTTTAATTTCCCTTTAGTGCTGTCTCATCATTGCCATCAGTTTTCCGCCTCTGGGAAGTCACATCACCTGTTCTGTCACCCTGCCCTCTCTAGCTCTTAGCTTTGCCACACTCATCTCCATTCTTTTCCTAAACATCAGGCTCCTCAATATTCCTAATCCTAATCCTACTCAACATTCTCTATCTCCTCCTCAGCATTTGTATTGGCCAGTGTAGCTCTTTCTCTTTTAAAAAAATTTTTTAGATTGATTCTTGGTTGGCATTTTATTTATTTTATTACTTTTTTTTTGAGACAGGGTCAGCCAGGCTGGAGCGCTGTGGCACAATCTTGGCTCACTGCAGCCTCCACCTCCTGGGATCAAGCTATCCTCCCACCTCAGCTCCTGAGTAGGTGGGACTACAGGCTCACACCACCAAACCCAGCAACCCAGACACCTCGCCACAAGCTCTCGCTCATATTTCCCTGAGAGCTCCAAATTCTTCACCCACACCAGAGCTTAGGGAGAACTGGTTAGTAGCTCTTTCTTGATCCTCCTCCCTTCAGACTTTCACTTCCTCAGCTTCCCTCACAATTGGGCAAGGTCTAATTCATATAATCACTTCCTTATTCTGTGACATTTTTGGTGGCTTTGCTTCCCTGACTGAACACCGACTGATAAAATGGCAGAGGAGGAAAAACAATTTCCCTCTACCTTTCTAAGTTCAGCAGCTGGGGCCCTGCCAATAAAACTGATAAAAGACAGATTAATAGGAGAAAAGGCATACAAATGTTATTTGATATTAATATGTTTACATGTACATGGAGGCCTTTGTAAAAAAGAAATGAAGATTCAAAGAAGCAAATAGGCTTGAGCACTTATATACCATTTCAACAAAGAATGCTAAATTCTGGAGCTATGACAGGTCAAAGGAAACGGAGGCAAGGGAATGTCCTAGGGGTGGTAAATGTGAGGCGTAAATATATGAGGAAATTAATGGTAAATAAAGGTTGTTTAGTAAGATTTGTTCTGCAGATTTGTCTTGGTGCATCTCAGGGCTGATAAGAGTTCTAGAGTCCTCTCAAGTAATTAAGAGTCCTGGTGATTAAGAGTTGTTCTCCTGGGAGCTGTGGCTCACACACCTGTAATCTCAGCACTTTGGGAGGCCAAGGCAGAAGGATCATTTGAGACCAAAAGTTCAAGACCTGCCTGGGCAACATAGCGAGACCCTGTCTCTACAAAAATAAATTAGCCAGGTGTGGTGGTGCACACCTGTAGTCCCAGCTACTCAGAAGACAGAGCGAGACCCCATCTCTTAAAAAACAAAAAGAGTGATGTTCCCCTTCCTGTGTCCACGTGTTCTCATTGTTCAATTCCCACCTATGAGTGAGAACATGTGGTGCTTGGTTTTTTGTCCTTGCGATAGTTTGCTGAGAATGATGGTTTCCAGCTTCATCCATATCCCTACGAGCTGATGGGTGCTGCACACCAACATGACACATGTATACATATATAACTAACCTGCACGTTCTGCACATGTACCCTAAAACTTAAAGTGTAATTTAAAAAAAAGAGTTGTTCTCTTCTTTCTGGTACAAAAGAGGTAAACACCTTTACAAGTAGAAATTTATGTCCTGCTTTTAGTCAGATGGAGGAGGGCAGAGAGTTTTTTCTGCATAAGCTATTTCTTAATTGCCTTCAGCTCAAAATAATCCTCATGCCAAAGTGGCATATTCTGGTTCCCTTCACAATATATGTATGTGTGTAGAAAAATGTCTGAAAAGATACATACCAAATGTAAACCCTGGTTATCTCTGAGCTTATGTGAATTTTTTTACCTTTTACTCATTTGTATTTCCTAGTTTTTAAAAGAATAACTGTGGGTTAACTAAGCTGAAATGATTAAAGACAGAAAAATTTCTATTTACATTACAACAATTGAGTAACAACCCATTCTTAAACAAGAACCTTGGTAGGAATGAATGGGACACAAACTACCTGGCATTCATATGAGAACCTTCTCTTCAATGTAGGCAGCCTGAAGTACTCAATTTATTCCCTGAGATGACTAAGGAATCTCTGAAATACTGTGGATATTTGTTAAAAAAGGAAAGACAGAATTATTATACCTTTTCAAACTTTTGATTCACTTTCACATTTCTTTACTGAGTCTTTTCCCACCCTGGCAAGGTAGATATATAAATCTTAGTTTTACAAAGAGAGGGACTGACACATAGGACAAAAAAGAGTCAACTAAAGAATTTATAATACAAATGTTTTATGCTTAATGTTTTTCTAAAACCATTGCAAATAAAGATTAAGGTATTTGTGGACATAGGCAAATTCTGTATGTGTTTGGTCAATCTTGGCAAGGAAGTGGTTGTCAAGGATTTTTTGTTTGTTTGCTTTCACAAGGCAGACTGATTTATCTGCAGGCAAAGTGGAAAGTGTTTAGAATAATTGATATGCTATAAAGTATTCATAATTAATAATTATTATAAATTAACTTCATAAATAACATTTTGGCACAAAAGAGTTGGCAAATGATCAGCAGATTTGACAATTCTTTAAAAATGAACATTGTAGCAAATGAATCTGTTGTGTGTAGCATGTAATTACAGTGCTGTGGATAAGGTGCTAAGCTATCAAAAGGAAAAGTATGCTCTAAATTGGCCTCCTGGAGCATGAGGGTTGTGAGAAGCACATTACAACACTCTAATAAATTACCCATGTCACCAGCTTGGGCAACATAGTGTGACTTCATCTCTACAAAAAAAATTTTTTAATTAGCTGGGCATGATGGCACACACCTGTAGTCCCAGCTACTCAAGAGGCTGAGGTGGGATCACTTGAGGTCAAGGCTGAGCCAAGATCATGCCACTGTATTCAAGCCTGGATGACAGTGTGAACCCCTGTCTCGAAAAAAAAAATATTACCTATGTCAAATGGGCAAATATTAATATAAATATTAATATAAAAGCCAAGAGAAATTCTCTTTAAAAATAAAAATTACATAATTCTTCCAGTAATTAACTACATTTGCCCAAACAAGACAATATAGCAACAGGGGAAAATGGAAAAACAAAAGGATGCATGTTTGATGTTCTAAGGTTAAGAATAAGACCACTAGGCCAGGCACGGTGGCTCATTCCTGTAATCCCAACACTTTGGGAGGCCGAGGTAGGCAGATCACCTGAGGTCAGGAGTTTGAGACCATCCTGACCAACATGGTGAAATTCCATCTCTACTAAAAATACAAAAATTAGCCGGCCATGGTGGCAGACGTCTGTAATCCCAGCTACTCTGGAGGCTGAGGCAGGGAGAATCGCTTGAACCTGGAGGGGCAAAGGTTGCAGTGAGCTGAGATCGCGCCATTGCACTCCAGCCTGGGTGACAGAGTAAGACTCTGTCTCAAAAAAAAAAAAAAAAAAAGAATAAGACCACTAAAGTCTGGTCTTGCCACTTATTGCTTTGTCTTAGGCAAAAAATATGTTTCTATCACTCAGTTTTCTCATCTATAAAGTGAGGATAGTACTATCTAACCCATAACACTACCATAAATATTTGATGAGCTAATCAATATAAAGTAAAAACATCATACTTACTACTCAATAAGTATGAACCATGAGAAAAAGCTTAGCTCCTTTAATAAACTGGTATGTGTGGGGTAGGGTAAGGGACTTTATGGAAGATAGAGCTTAAAACAGCCAGAGATTAGCTAAATGAGTCTTTTGCACATTTTTAAGCTAATATGCTAATTAGCATCTCTAGAAATTAGACAGTAAACTGAGAAGAACAGATAGAAAAGAGAATTAAAACTCCTTATGTTAAAAACAGCAACAAATTGTTGAATTAAACATAGTAAGTTGAACTCACATATTTACCTTTGCTTCTTCACTAACCTCCACTAAAATGAAAGTGTGATGGTTAATTTTACATGTCAACTTGGCTGGGCTAAGGAATGCCCAGATAGCTGGCAAAACATTATTTCTGTGTGTGCCTGTGAGGATGTTTCTGAAAGAGGTTAGCATTTGAATCAGTAGAATGAGTAAGGAAAATTGCCTTCAGCAATCTGGGTGGCCATGATCAATCCATTAAGAGCCCAAATAGAAAAAAAAAAAATGTAGAGGAAAGGCAAATTCTCTCTCTTCTTGAGCTGGGATATCCATCTTCTCCTGCTTTTAGACAATGGAGGTCCCAATTCTCAGATCTTCAGCCTCGGATTGAATTGCACCACTGGCTTTCCAGGTTCTCCAGCTTGCAGAGGGCAGGTGGTTGCACTTCTCAGCCTCCATTATTGTGTGAGCTAATTCCCATAATAAATTTTCTCATGTATAATCCCTATTGGTTCTGTCTGTCTCTCTGGAGAACTCTGATAAACACAGATAGTAAAAGAGGAAAGGCATAAACCCACATGAACAAAGAAAACTGGAAGAGAGATAAATGCAGCAACAAAAATTTGAAAACTGGAAAGCAAATGAAGAAGTTATTATCCTCTTCTCTGCCTAAATGTAAGCAGGCAATGGGGAAATCCCAGAAATAAGCTATCTGAATTTTTAAAATCCTGGGGAAATATCAGGAACTGAAGCATAAGGTGCCACTGAAAGCAAGGGAACTGATAGACTTAATGCATGAGAACTAGCTGAAAGTTCATATAAGATGCTGCTAGACCACAGCCATCTATTTCACCCTTCCTCCCCCTTCATCCCACCCCCACCACTCCCACACCTGCCCTCCACCTTTTGCCACCATATAACGCCATTCCTCCACTATGGCAGAAGCCTGGAGTTTAACTGGTTAGAGAGTTCGACCAAAAAGACTGAATTTGGGTACACTGTGCTTCACAGAGAATGAGGGGTATTCTACCAAAAAAAGACGGGAGGTGGTTTAAGTGAAAGGCAACAACCCCTTTCCCCTACTTAGATTCCAAAACATGGCAGTCAGTTTCAAACCACATAAACAAGAGTTTCTTAGGAATCTGACCAGTACTCCCCACCCCCCAAAAAAGACCTATACATACTGAGAGTCAGGGGCTCCCAATAAAACAGTACAAATAGATTACTGTATTATAGAGTCTATTAGGTAATAAATCCCACCCATGCATAGAGTTTCCCATCAGCTTTTAGGTAGCTCGATATTAAATATGAGAAGATAGTCAAGAATCATCAGTCATTAGAAATATTCAATCTAACATGAAAGACAGAGGTCAAAACAAAGAATAAAAAGAAACTGTGACTGAGCTAATACAAAATCATTAATATCCATGGAAAGATAAGAGTGCATCCTTGAAACAAGAACAATATGCTATTAAAAAGGACATTCAGAGAACAAAAAAAAATTCTTGGAAATTAAAAATATGAAAACTAATTAAAAACTCAATAGAGGCTGAGTGCGGTGACTCACGCCTGTAATCCCAGCACTTTAGGAGGCTGAGGCAGGCAGATCACCTGAGGTCAGGAGTTCAACACCAGCTTGGCCAACATGGCGAAACCCCGTCTCTACTAAAAATACAAAAATTAGCCAGGCATGGTGGTGCACGCCTGTAGTCCCAGCTGCTCAGGA
Source organism: Homo sapiens (assembly GCF_000001405.40). Classification (NCBI taxonomy): domain Eukaryota; kingdom Metazoa; phylum Chordata; class Mammalia; order Primates; family Hominidae; genus Homo; species Homo sapiens. The sequence continues at coordinate 42,061,319 of NC_000012.12, forward strand.
GGCCGAGGCAAGAGAATCTCTTAAACCTGGGAGGTGGGGGTTGCAGTGAGCCGAGATTGCACCACTGCACTCCAGCCTGGGCAACAGAGTGAAACTCCGTCCCAAAAAGAAAAAGAAAAGAAAAAAAAAAAGCACCTCAATAGAAGTTTGGAAGTAGGAGAGAAATTATAGGTTTATTAGAGAACTAGCCCAGGCTATGAAATGTCTGAAAAATACATGTTCCAGAAAGAGAGATAAAAAGTGAAAGGAAAGTATTCAAGACAATTTCCCAGAAATAAAGGTTCAAATGTCAAATGTCCAAATCAAAAGTTTTTTAAGTACCCAGCACAATGAAGGAGAAAAGGCTCATCCCCATGTTCATCATCATGAAATTTCAGAACTCCGAGAATTACCCAGTGGAATGAAGATCTCCAGGAGAAAAGACTTTAATGGTTTCCAGAAAGACAGGCCATAAACAAGAGTTCAAGAATCAGAGTTCCATCAGACATCTCAATAACAATATTACAATTTAGAAGACAATAGAACATATGCCTTCCACATTTAAAGGACAGTTGCTGTCCAAATTAGAGTTCTATACACAGCCAAATTATCCAACATGGGAACTCTAGAACAAACACATTTTTTAGGTGTGCAAGATGGGACACTGATTGTTGCCCTTCAATAGCTTTCTTCTTCTTTCTGTCCTCCTCCTCCTTCTTCTTTTTCTTCTTCTTCTCCTTCTCCTTCTCCTTTGCCTTCTGTAGTAAACATGACAAATTCTATCTGGACCCATGAAGATCCAGAATATGTAAAAATTTTCCAACTTTCATTCTAGCTAGATGTGTCCATGTGACTAAGCTTTGGGCCAAAAGTATGTAAGTAGAAGTAATTGATGGTACTCCCCAAAAGTTTTATTAAAAGCTAAAAGCAGGCCCTTTTCCTTCCATTTTTTTTCTCCATAGCTAAAAAGGAGATGGTAGATGGAACCAGAATGGCATTCTTATACTACTGGTGGAAGCTATTTGTTAGGAATGACCAAGGAGCAGGCTAGAAGGAGATTGAGTCCCTGATAATAACAGAACTTCCAAATCAGCTTTGACTACATTTATGTGAGAGAATAAGCTTCTATCTTCTTTTTTCTCATTTAAAAGAAAATTATCAACTTGATCATATAAGTTTAAAGATGTAACCATCTTACTTTGTTACATCTCCATCAAGATAGTTCAGTATTTAGGTTACAGGTATATGACTGAGAGTTCAATTCTCTTTTGTGATAAGCATGGATTATTCGAGCTATCATTCAATATTCACTTTTCAGATACATGAAGCTTGTTGACTCACATTCAAATTCACATTTGCTACTTTTTAAAATCATTTCTCGGGGCCAGGCATGGTGGGTCATGCCTGTAATCCCAGGACTTTGGGAGGCCTAGGTGGGTGGATCACTTGGGCTCAAGAGTTTGAGACCAGCCTGGGCAACATGGTGAAACCCCATCTCTATCAAAAATACAAAAAGTTAGCTGGGTATGGTGGCACACACCTGTGGTCCCAGCTACTCAGGAGGCTGAGATAGGAGGATTGTTTGAGCCAGGGAGGCAGAGGTTGCAGTGAGCCAAGATCGTACCATTGCACTCCAGCCTGGGTGACAAAGTGAGACCCCCTCTCAAAAAAAAATCATTTCTCGGAGGAGCCAAGATGGCCGAATAGGAACAGCTTTGGTCTACAGCTCCCAGCGTGAGCGATGCAGAAGACAGGTGATTTCTGCATTTCCAACTGAGGTACTGGGTTCATCTCACTGGGGAGTGGCAGACAGTAGGCACAGGATAGTGAGTGCAGCGCACTGCACGCGAGCCAAAGCAGGGCGAGGCATTGCCTCACCTGGGAAGCGCAAGGGGTCAGGGAATTCCCTTTCCTAGTCAAAGAAAGGGGTGGCAGATGGCACCTGGAATATTGGGTCACTCCCACCCTAATACTGCGCTTTTCCAATGGGCTTAAAAAACGGCACACCAGGAGATTATATCCCTCACCTGGCTCAGAGGGTCCTATGCCCACGGAGTCTGGCTCACTGCTAGCGCAGCAGTCCGAGATCAAACTGTAAGGCAGCAGCGAGGCTGGGGGAGGGGCATCCACCATTGCCAAGTTAGTTGTTTGATTAGGTAAACAAAGTGGCCAGGAAGCTCAAACTGGGTGGAGCCCACCACAGCTCAAGGAGGCCTGCCTGCCTCTGTAGGCTCCACCTCTGGGGGCAGGGCACAGACAAACAAAAAGACAGCAGTAACCTCTGCAGACTTAAATGTCCCTCTCTGACCACTTTGAAGAGAGTAGTGGTTCTCCCAGCATGCAGCTGGAGATCTGAGAATGGGCAGACTGCCTCCTCAAGTGGGTCCCTGACCCCCGAGTAGCCTAACTGGGAGGCACCCCCCAGTAGGGGCGGACTGACACCTTACACGGCCGGGTACTCCTCTGACACAAAACTTCCAGAGGAACCATCAGGCAGCAGCATTTGCGGTTCACCAATATCTGCTGTTCTGCAGCCACCGCTGCTGATACCCAGGCAAACAGGGTCTGGAGTGGACTTCTAGCAAACTCCAACAGACCTGCAGCTGAGGGTCCTGTCTGGTAGAAGGAAAACTAACAAACAGAAAGGACATCCACACCAAAAACCCCTCTGTACGTCACCATCATCAAAGACCAAAGGTAGATAAAACCACAAAGATGGGAAAAAAACAGAGCAGAAAAACAGGAAACTCTAAAAATCAGAGCATCTCTCCTCCTCCAAAGGAACGCAGCTCCTCACCAGCAACAGAACAAAGCTTCGTGGAGAATGACTCTGATGAGTTGAGAGAAGACGGCTTCAGACGATCAAACTACTCCGAACTACAGGAGGAAATTCGAACCAATGGCAAAGAAGTTAAAAGCTTTGAAAAAAAATTAGATGAATGGATAAATAGAATAACCAATGCAGAGAAGTCCTTAAAGGACCTGATGGAGCTGAAAACCAAGGCACAAGAGCTACGTGACGAACGCAGAAGCCTCAGTAACTGATGCGATCAACTGGAAGAAAGGGTATCAGTGATGGAAGATGAAACGAATGAAATGAAGCGAGAAGAGAAGTTTAGAGAAAAAAGAATAAAAAGAAACGAACAAAGCCTCCAAGAAATATGGGACTATGTGAAAAGACCAAATCTACGTCTGATTGGTGTACCTGAAAGTGACAGGGAGAATGGAATCAAGTTGGAAAACACTCTGCAGGATATTATCCAGCAGAACTTCCCCAATCTAGCAAGGCAGGCCAACATTCAAATTCAAGAAATACAGAGAACGCCACAAAGATATTCCTCGAGAAGAGCAACTCCAAGACACAGAATTGTCAGATTCACCAAAGTTGAAATGAAGGAAAAAATCTTAAGGGCAGCCAGAGGTTGGGTTACCCACAAACGGAAGCCCATCAGACTAACAGCTGATCTCTCAGCAGAAACTCTACAAGCCAGAAGAGAGTGGGGACCAATATTCAACATTCTTAAAGAAAAGAATTTTCAACCCAGAATTTCATATCCAGCCAAACTAAGCTTCATAACTGAAGGAGAAATAAAATACTTTACAGACAAGCAAAGGCTGAGAGATTTTGTCACCACCAGGCCTGCCCTATAAGAGCTCCTGAAGGAAGCACTAAACATGGAAAGGAACAACCGGCCACTGCAAAAACATGCCAAATCGTAAAGACCATCAAGGCTAGGAAGAAACTACATCAACTAACGAGCAAAATAACTAGCTAACATCATAATGACAGGATCAAATTCACACATAACAATACTAACCTTAAATGTAAATGGCCTAATGCTCCAATTAAAAGACACAGACTGGCAAATTGGATAAAGAGTCAAGACCCATCAGTGTGCTGTATTCAGGAAACCCATCTCACGTGCAGGGACACACATACGCTCAAAATAAAGGGATGGAGAAAGATCTACCAAGCAAATGGAAAACAAAAAAAGGCAGGGGTTGCAATCCTAGTCTCTGATAAAACAGACTTTAAACCAACAAAGATCAAAAGAGACAAAGAAGGCCATTACATAATGGTAAAGGGATCAATTCAACAAGAAGAGCTAACTATCCTAAATATATATGAACCCAATACAGGAGCACCCAGATTCATAAAGCAAGTTCTTAGTGACCTACAAAGAGACTTAGACTCCCACACATTAATAATGGGAGACTTTAACACCCCACTGTCAACACTGGAAAGATCAACGAGACAGAAAGTTAACAAGGATACCCAGGAATTGAACTCAGCTCTGCACCAAGCGGACCTAATAGACATCTACAGAACTCTCCACCCCAAATCAACAGAATATACATTCTTTTCAGCACCACACCACACCTACTCCAAAATTGACCACATAGTTGGAAGTAAAGCACTCCTCAGCAAACGTAAAAGAACAGAAATTATAACAAACTGTCTCTCAGACCACAGTGCAATCAAACTAGAACTCAGGATTAAGAAACTCACTCAAAACCGCTCAACTACATGGAAACTGAACAACCTGCTCCGGAATGACTACTGGGTACATAACGAAATGAAGGCAGAAATTAAGATGTTCTTTGAAACCAACGAGAACAAAGACACAACATACTAGAATCTCTGGGACACATTCAAAGCAGTGTGTAGAGGGAAATTTATACCACTAAATGCCCACAAGAGAAAGCAGGAAAGATCTAAAATTGACACCCTAACATCACAAATAAAAGAACTAGAAAAGCAAGAGCAAACACATTCAAAAGCTAGCAGAAGGCAAGAAATAACTAAGATCAGAGCAGAACTGAAGGAAATGGAGACATAAAAAACCCTTCAAAAAATCAATGAATCCAGGAGCTGGTTTTTTGAAAAGATCAACAAAATTGATAGACCGCTAGCAGGACTAATAAAGAAGAAAAGGGAGAAGAATCAAATAGACGCAATAAAAAATGATAAAGGGGATATCACCACCGATCCCACAGAAATACAAACTACCATCAGAGAAAACTATAAACACCTCTATGCAAATAAACTAGGAAATCTAGAAGAAATGGATAAATTCTTCGACACATACATCCTCCCAAAACTAAACCAGGAAGAAGCTGAATCTCTGAATACACCAATAATAGGCTCTGAAACTGAGGCAATAATCAATAGCTTACCAACCAAAAAAAGTCCAGGACCAGATGGATGCACAGCCGAATTCTACCAGAGGTACAAAGAGGAGCTGGTACCATTCCTTCTGAAACTATTCCAATCAATAGAAAAAGAGGGAATCCTCCCTAACTCATTTTATGAGGCCAGCATCATCCTGATACCAAAGCCTGGCAGAGACACAACCAAAAAAGAGAATTTTAGACCAATATCTTCGATGAACATCGATGCAAAAATCCTCAATAAAATACTGGCAAACCGAATCCAGCAGCACATCAAAAAGCTTATCCACCATGATCAAGTCGGCTTCATCCCTGGGATGCAAGGCTGGTTCAACATACTCAAATCAATAAATGCAATCCAGCATATAAACAGAACCAAAGACAAAAACCACATGATTATCTCAATAGATGCAGAAAAGTCCTTTGACAAAATTCAAGAATGCTTCATGCTAAAAACTTTCAATAAATTAGGTATTGATGGGTCATATATCAAAATAATAAGAGCTGTCTCTGACAAACCCACAGACAATATCATACTGAATGGATAAAAACTGGAAGCATTCCCTTTGAAAACTGGCACAAGACAGGGATGCCCCCTCTCACCACTCCTATTGAACATAGTGTTGGATGTTCTGGCCAGGGCAATCAGGCAGGAGAAGGAAATAAAGGGCATTGAATTAGGAAAAGAGGAAGTCAAATTGTCCCTGTTTGCAGATGACATGATTGTATATCTAGAAAACCCCATTGTCTCAGCCCAAAATCTCCTTAAGCTGATAAGCAACTTCAACAAAGTCTCAGGATACAAAATCAATGTACAAAAATCACAAGCATTCTTACACACCAATAACAGACAAACAGAGAGCCAAATCACGAGTGAACTCCCATTCACAATTGCTTCAAAGAGAAGAAAATACCTAGGAATCCAACTTACAAGGGACATGAAGGACCTCTTCAAGGACAACTACAAACCACTGCTCAATGAAATAAAAGAGGATACAAACAAATGGAAGAACATTCCATGCTCATGGGTAGGAAGAATCAATATCATGAAAATGGCCATACTGCCCAAGGTAATTTATAGATTCAATGCCATCCCCATCAAGCTACCAATGATGTTCTTCACAGAATTGGAAAAACTACTTTAAAGTTCATATGGAACCAAAAAAGAGCCCGCATCGCCAAGTCAATCCTAAGCCAAAAGAACAAAGCTGAAGGCATCACCCTACCTGACTTCAAACTATACTACAGGCTACAGTAACCGAAACAGCATGGTACTGGTACCAAAACAGAGATATAGATCAATGGAACAGAACAGAGCCCTCAGAAATAATGCCGCGTATCTACCACTATCTGATCTTTGAGAAACCTGACAAAAACAAGCAATGGGGAAAGGATTCCCTATTTAATAAATGGTGCTGGGAAAACTGGCTAGCCATATGTAGAAAGCTGAAACTGGATCCCTTCCTCACACCTTATACAAAAATTAATTCAAGATGGATTAAAGACTTAAATGTTAGACCTAAAACCATAAAAACCCTAGAAGAAAACCTAGGCAATACCATTCAGGACATAGGCATGGGCAAGGACTTCATGTCTAAAACACCAAAAGCAATGGCAACAAAAGCCAAAATTGACAAATAGGATCTAATTAAACTAAAGAGCTTCTGCACAGCAAAAGAAACTACCATCAGAGTGAACAGGCAACCTACAGAATAGGAGAAAATTTTTGCAAGCTACTCATCTGACAAAGGGCTAATATCCAGAATCTACAATGAACTCAAACAAATTTACAAGAAAAAAACAAACAACCCCATCAACAAGTGGGCGAAGGATATGAACAGACACTTCTCAAAAGAAGACATTTATGCAGACAAAAAAACACATGAAAAAATGCTCATCATCACTGGCCATCAGAGAAATGCAAATCCAAACCACAATGAGATACCATCTCACACCAGTTAGAATGGAGATCATTAAAAAGTCAGGAAACAACAGGTGCTGGAAAGGATGTGGGGAATAGGAACACTTTTACACTGTTGGTGGGACTGTAAACTAGTTCAACCATTGTGGAAGTCAGTGTGGCGATTCCTCAGGGATCTAGAACTAGAAATACCATTTGACCCAGCCATCCCATTACTGGATATATACCCAAAGGACTACAAATCATGCTGCTATAAAGACACATGCACACATATGTTTATTGCGGCACTATTCACGATAGCAAAGACTTGGAACCAATCCACATGTCCAACAATGATAGACTGGATTAAGAAAATGTGGCATATATACATCATGGAATACTATGCAGCCATAAAAAATGGTGAGTTCATGTCCTTTGTAGGGACATGGATGAAACTGGAAACCATCATTCTCAGCAAACTATCGCAAGGACAAAAAACCAAACACCGCGTGTTCTCACTCATAGGTGGGAACTGAACAATGAGAACACATGGACACAGGAAGGGGAACATCACACATCGGGGACTGTTGTGGGGTGGGGGGCGGGGGGAGGGATAGCGTTAGGAGATATACCTAATGCTAAATGACGAGTTAATGGGTGCAGCACACCAAAATGGCACATGTATACATATGTAACAAACCTGAACGTTGTGCACATGTACCCTAAGACTTAAAGTATAATGATAGTAAAATTTAAAAAATAATAATAAAAAAAGAAAATTTTACAGGGGAAAAAAATCATTTCTCCTCATTTGTGGCATTAAGCCATATTGCTTATAATATGAAGAGCTGTTGACATCTTTCCTACCCATAAACATGACCATATGACCACCACTTATTCATATTTTCATGCATCTAAGTGCATAAAAAGGCAGTAAGTATATTTCTTAGAATATACCATTGAAAGCAGATTTTAAATCTACCTGTTTTTCTTAACTTCTGTTGGTTTTCTCCCACAGTTAAGGAAAGGAATAGTAATTTTTCATTTCATTCTAATCACACTAGTAATTTTTCACACTAATACAATGTCTAATATATTCCCACTGTATTAATCTGTTCTCACACAACTATGAAGAAATACCCGAGACTGGGTAATTTAAAAAGGAAAGAGGTTTAATTGACTCACAGTTCTGCATTGCTGGGGAGGCCTCAGGAAACTTACAATCATGGTGGAAGGCAAAGGAGAAGTAGGCACCTTTTTCACAGGGTGGCAACAGAGAGTGAGTGCAAGCAGGAGTAATGCCAGACACATATAAAACCATCAGATCTCGTGAGATTCACTCATTATCATGAGAACAGCATGGGGGAAACCGCCCCCATGATCCAATTACCTCCTTGATACATGGGGATTACGGGGGCTACAATTCAAGGTGAGATTTGGGTGGGGACACAGAGCCAAACCATGTCACACACCAAAGAAAAGTAGGCTGTGGTGCACAGCTGTTAAGTTTCCATAAAATCAGGGAAGACCATGAACATTTCAGAAGAGCACTCTTACTAAAGTTTATATTTGAATGACTGGCTGGAAATGCATCGATGTTCAGGGCTTCACCTGCTCTAAAAGTGCACACGTCATATGCCCACACTGTGTCTATCCCCTCCCTGGTTACATGGTCTGGGGTCCAGTGGGGGAAAGGGAACCGGCAAGCAATGACTCTGGCATCATCCTCAAGTTCAAGTTTCTTCTCCAACTGCAGCATCATCTGAGAGGCACACCAAAAATAAGTGTTTGAGTACTATGAAAAAGTAACTGCCCACAAATCTGAAATATAAAATTTGGCAGAGCCATGCACACTTTCTTGCCAACCGTGATACTTGGAATACCAAACTAGCCACGGATTTAATTCACAACCAACTGCTGTGAATCTTTCCTTTGCAGCTGTTATTACTGTGTTATTAATGTGTCCATCGCCATTACCAATGTCTACCAGGGATCCTCCTCTGCATAGCAACATTTTCACATTTTTTATCTGCTTTGTAGTTGCAGGTACAAAAGGCAAACAGACTTTTGAGAGGATTGGTGCTATAAATGGCATAGCTACAGCATACAGCCACCAGAGTCCCGCCCACAATCTCAATAAATAAAAACCCCTAGTTGCTTTTCTTCAAACGGTTGGCTTCAAAAGTCGAAGGTAGAATACGTCTTGACTGACTTTCTTCTTTAAGTGTTTCTAGGGATGTACCTCCCCCCACTCTTTTGGGAGTTTCTATCTTCTTTAAGCCACCATTACTTTGGGTTTCTGTCACTGTAGCCAACCTTATCCTGGCTAATCCTACCTAATGCACAAGTTTTTGAAGGTTTTCTTTGCAAATTATTAAGTTTTATAAATATGGATATAATATGTATATATAACATGATATTTGTGGATTGCATTATTTAAATCTTCTGTATACTTTTTTGTCTTCTTGATATGCAAATTATGAAAGAAGTTTATTAAAGAGTGACACTATGATGGTGGCTTTACCAATTTCTTACATTTTGGGGAAGATTTTGCTGTGTGTACACAAAACCATTATAAAATAGTCCTTTGCCCCATTTTAAACTTTGAGTTTTGATTTTTTCTGATAATACTATATTTGGTTTCTTACATTTTTATTTTTCTGCTGTGTCCTTCCCCACTTATTTATTTTCAAACTTCAGTTGTCACTTGCTTGAGTATTGCAGAATTGATCTCAGAGGATTCTGAAGGCTGATTTTTTTTTTTTTTTTTTTTTGAGATGGAGTCTTGCTCTGTCGCCCAGGCTGGAGTGCAGTGGCGCCATCTCAGCTACTGCCAGCTCTGCCTCCGGGGTTCATGCCATTCTCCTGCCTCAGCCTCCCAGGTAGCTGGGACTACAGGCACCCGCCACCACGCCCAGATAATTTTTTTGTATTTTTAGTGGAGACGGGTTTCACTGTGTTACCCAGGATGGTTTCGATCTCCTGACCTCGTGATCCACCCACCTCGGCCTCCCAAAGTGCTGGGATTACAGGTGTGAGCCACTGCGCCCGGCCAGGCTGATTTTTTTGAGGGATGCTAGACCTGGGAAATTGCCGTCAGCCTCACTCACTCTCATGGTAAGCATTCAGAAAATGTTGGGATTATTTTGCCTCTGATTTATGGGCAGTTATATAGCTCAGGTCTCTAGAATAGCCAGGTTGTGAGGCAATAGGCAGGGGTTGAAAAAAGAAGGAGATGAAAATCCTGTGAGAATGGTAAGGTGAGATTCCCTTGTGTAGCAGAATCTTCACTCAGTGCTGTTGATAAAAAACACAATTCTATTTCCCTATGGAAAGCTTTGGAGACTGGCAAGTCCACACCACCATTAGGTAGCATGTTATGTCATATCCTGCCTTTGTGCAATTGAGTCCATAAGTTTCCATATTATTTCCTATAAAAAACATTATATCCTTTAATAACATTGGCATTTTTTCCACCAATCACATCATCATTTTGTTAAGAAAGTCACCAGGTATGTCTTTTGCAGAGAACATGAAGCTAATTGCCGGATTTTTTTTTTCCTGTAGTATTACCACATAGTTACCATACCATTTAAAAAATATCTTGCTTATTCTTGGACAGCTCTGTTGAGATCTTTAATATGTTCTCATAAAGTATTTATTACTTCTCATTCATCACATTGAACATTTCTATGTGCCAGGTATGTATCAGTGAATAAAACAGAAAAAAAAATCCCTGTTTATACTACGGTGAATCGGGGGAAAAGATGTTGACTAAGAGAAAGATAATAAACATGGTAAATAAATACATTATATGTTAGAAGCTGATAAGTACTATGAAGGAAAAAACAGAGCAAGGTGAGAAGTGAGACATATAGTCACAAATTGCAACTTTACATTAGTAATCAGGATAAATGTTTTGGTTATTGTTGTGTAATGAACTACCCCAAGACTTTAATGGCTCAAAGCAACAACCGTTTTATTATATCACATGATTTTGTGGGTCAGGAATTTGGCTAGGGCTTAACTGTGCAATTCTTCCGTTCTACCTGGTGTCAACTGGTGGCTAAGCTGGGCTGCAAGATCCAACATGACTTCACTGGTCCAAGAGGGTTCAAGATGACTTCACTCACATGCCTGGACTTGACAGGGAGGACTAGAAGCCTAGGCTCAGCTGGGACCCTCTCCTTCCTCCATGGAGTGTCAGGATGTCTCCAGGTGGTTTCTAAGCACGGCATCAGACTTCTTACAAGGAAACTCAGGATTCTAAGGGTCCCAGGTGGAAATTGCTAGTCTCAAAGCTAAGTCCGCCAAACTCTATTGGTCCAAGCAGTCATACACCATCCATTATTCAAGGTGATGGGATATGGATTTTTACCTTGATAGGAGAAATGTCAAAAATTTCGTGGCTACACCTTCACCTAGTAGGCATCATTAGGAAGTGACATCTCACTAAAGACTTGAAGAAGGTGAGAGAATTGGCCAGGGGATATTTGGGAGAATAGAGTTGCAGAGAGAAAACAACAGGGCAACATTCCCTAGTCAGGATTGTGTCAGGCATTTCAATGTGACTGAAATAGAATGCGCAGGGGAAGAATATTAAAAGGAATATGAGAGAGAATGGGGAGGGGATGGATTCCCAGCAGATCCTGTGAGTCTTGTAGCCATTTAAGGACTTTGGATTTTACTATGAGTGAATGGTGGATCACTGAGAATTGAACAGAGGTATGACATATGACTTATCTTTTAAAAGGATTATTCTAGCTGATATGTTAATAGTCTGTTGCAGTAATTTAAGCAAGAGATCACACTTGCTTAGACAAGCATAGTAGAAATAGAGGTAGTGATGAGTGATTGGATTCTGGATTTATTAACAATTTGAAGGTTGATATAGGATTTTTAATGGCTTGAATGTGGAATGTGTATGATCAAGGGAAAAGTAGAGAATGATTGCAAATATTTTAGCCATACCTGGCCAGGTGCGTGGTTCATGCTTGTAATCCCAGCACTTTGGGAGGCCAAGGTGGGCAGATCATTTGAGGTCAGGAGTTTGAGACCAGCCTGACCAACATGGTGAAACCCCGTCTCTACAAAAACTACAAAAAAATTAGCCGGGCATGGTGTCGCGTTCCTATAGTCTCACCTACTCCGGAGGCTGAGGCAGAAGCACTTGAACCCAGGAGGTGGAGGTTGCAGTGAGCCCAGATCACGCCACTGCACTCCAGCCTGGGTGACAGAGACTCATTCTCAAAAAAAAAAAAAAAAAAAAAAAAATTTAGCCATAGCAGCTGGAAGAATTAATTTACAATCATCTAAATAAAGAAAATTCCAGATAGAGTAAGTTTAAGAGAAAAATTGAGGATTCTGTTTTGGACATGTTAAATTTGGGATGGATGTTAGCTATCCTAGCAGAGATGTCAAGCAGGAGCAAGGAAGAGAGAAGAGTGTGGAATTCAGAAGACACTCTTAACTGAAGATATTAAAAATATGACAGGTGTTCCATGTTCTTAAAGGCATAGACTGGATGAGATCACAGAGAGGCTGTGGTGTATTTCAGCATTAAGAGGGTGGAAGAAAATGGAATATCAGAATAGAGATGAAAAGAAGTACTGAATGAGGAAAGAGGAAAACAAAGAGTGTAATGAAATGGGGGGTCAAATCAAGGAAGTATTTCAATGAAAAAAGTGCCTCATCAAATTATGTCAAACTCTGCTCATAGGTCAAATACGATGAGAATTAGCAATTGGATATTGGAATCAACAGCACACACGTCATTGGCGACCTTGACAAGAGAGGAACTGGGGACAAAGAATACGGATAACTCTTTCAAAGAATTTTTGCTGGGAAAAATTCAGCAGAGTGGAAAAAACTGCAAGATAAGAGAAAGAGGGAAGAATTGATGGACAATGTTCTTGAATAAACAGATGGCTTGAGTCTAGAGCAAAATGAAGAAAATGGCTTTAGATGGGAGCTGTAGTGTAGTAACATGGGGAAGATAGAATCTACGGGTGCAGACTCAGGAACATTGGTTTTAGTAGATCTAATGCTAGGAACATGTGAAAATTCTAATTGTTGAAAGAAGAAACAATGGTGTCAGCTGGATATGAGGATCGAGGAAGAGGTGCTGCTTGGTTTGAAGAGAAAGGGGAAGGTGTAAACTATCATAGGAAAATGGGAGACTGAATAGATCAGGGAGTGGTATGGTTTGACTCTGTGTCCCCACCCAAATCTCATCTCGAATTGTAATCCCCACGTGCCAAGGGAGGGACCTATAATCCTCATGTATCAAGGGAGGAAGGTAGTTGGATCATGGGGCAGTTTCCCCCATCCTGTTCTTGTCATAGTGAGTGAGTTCTCATGAGATCTGATGGTTTTATAAGTGTTTGACTGTTCTTCCTTCGTGCTCTCTCTCCTGCCACCTTGTGCAGAAAGTACCTGCTTCCCCTTCCACCATGATTTTAAGTTTCCTGAGGCCTCCCCAGCCATGCAGAACTGTGAGTCAATTAAACCTCTTTCCTTTATAAAGTACCCAGTCTCAGGGAAGTTCTTTATAGCAGTGTGAAAACAGATTAATACAGGGAGATATACAGCATAACTGCTGGCAACATTAAGAGCCACTTGAGGTTGCAAACTACAAATCCTAAGCCCTGTACCAACTGAATGGACACCTACCTTGGCCAAGGGGACCCCAGAAAAGCCTCAAAGCAGTTCCCAGCTAAGATGGGACAGGAGGTTGGACATACCTCGTTATACCCTCTCCCTTTTGCAGTTTAGACACAATTCACCAGCATTAGTAAAATAGAGATCATAAGACTGACAGAACAGACTCTTCGTAGCAATAAGATACCAAATCATAAACAGGACCTAAGGCCATGTCAGGCAAGGGTTAAGTCATGCACCCCACATTTCCAAGAATAAACTATGTTCTAATGGCCACAAGGTTTTTTTCTCTAGCAGCTAAACAAGCACTGGCCTTGATAAGCAATATTAAAACAATTGCAGCTGATCCATTGCCAGACGCTGACTGAACCCCTGTTCCACCAGCCATAAGCACCGCTTTTATCAAACAGGAGGCAATTTCAGAAACTTTCTCCATGTAAAAAGACCACCAACTGGACCATGGGCTGGTTCTGGATGGTTTAGAGAGGTTGTGCCCTTGCATGCCTTCATGTCCTGAAAAGACCTTAAGTCCCCATCCCAAAGTGAACATGGGCCACATATTACATGTATGTTTGTTCAATAAAAATCTCAGGACCACCTTCATGAACATTCATAGCTCCTCCAGTAATTTGAATACATATGTTTAGCCAACTGTTTTGCATAAAGCTCTTACCCCAACCCCACCTTCTTTGAAGACCTTGTCTCTGATCTTGGCCTGAGGCATGCTTCCCAGCCTGTAGGATGGCAACTGTAATCCTTTATAGAAAATAAAAGTCTTCTTTTTTTAAAATTATATATTGTGTGTGGGTTTTTTTTTTTAATGTTTATAAAGTTCATGGCCATGAATTTAAAGTAGGACCAGTAAGCAGTTTTGTTTCTTCCTTCAGCCATTTTCAGCTGCACTGGTGCAGGTAAAGGATAGATCTAGAGTTGGATTTAACTAAGGTTGTGGTTTTGCCAAAGTAGGATGACAAAGTGAGAGAGGGCAAGGTTGAGGGCATATGCATGTAAATAATTTTATTTTTGGAGACAGGGTCTCATTGTATCACCCAGGAGGCTGGAGTGCAGTGGTGCAATCTCAGATCTTGGCTCACTGCAACCTCAACCTCCCGGGCTCAAGCGATTCTCCCACCTCAGCCCCCTGAGTAGCTGAGGCTACAGGTCTATGCCACCATGCCCAGCTAATTGTTTTGTATTTTTTTGTAAAGATGAGGTTTCAGCATGTTGCCCAGGCTGGTCTCAAACTCCTGAGCTAAGGTGTTCTGCCCACTTCGGCCTCTCAAAATGCTGGGATTACAGGCGTGAGCCACCATGCCCAGGCACAAGGAAATAATTATAATGATCAAATGGCAGGTAATTTGGCAAGAAAGTGAAGAGAGGACATCAAGAGGACAAGGGGCAGTGAAAAGTGGTAGATGAGTAGACTGGAATCCCCATGGAATAGGAAAACTGTTAAAGTCAGGATACTAGAGGAAGTGAAGTGGAAAGGAAGGTGGATGAGGTGGTGATCAGAGAGTGAGATGTACAAGGCCAAAATTATAGAGGTTGCAGCCGTTGTAATGACAAGGTTAGACTGTGACTATGAGTGCTAGAAGTAGGGTCGGGAGGAGTTTAAGGTGTTTAAAAGATCATTTATGTATTTATTGAAATCACCTAGAATATCAAAGTAGTAGTTTTGGTAAGATTAACAAGCCAGACTCTAAAATGATCATGAAATGAGAGGGAATGGGTGATAGAATGAAGGTCTCCTACTCCCATTTTATCTGCTGCTGCTATCTGTTGATAGGTTTTTCTCTCTTATCAACAGACATTGGCATTTTGCATCTTATGTACTTTTTCTCTACTGGAAGAAAATCTCAACTCTGGGGATCAGCAGTCTTTATCAAAATCCTAAGGCTCTCCTATGCCTCCTGATGTTTCAAATGTCGTTCACAAAGGCCCAGACTTCCTGTTTTCGGAACGCACCCCAGTTCTATAAGGAGTACCTTCAGCCTCAGAACAGTCACCTGATTCATTGGCTCTGGAGCCTACTTTTGTCAGAGGATCCACCCTATTTTCTCATAGTACAAACTTCTCTCACCAACAGCCACTTCCATTACCCTGAAGTCAAAAGCAGAAAGAGATAAGACACCTGCTCAGTTTGCTTATCACCAGCAATGCCATGGCAGAGTCTTAAGCACGACAGGCATGTTTACTAGATTAATGCATTAGGAAGACCATTCTGGTTACATTTTGGAAAACAGCTTAGAGGAGCAAGAATGGAGGCAGGGAGACAAACTAGGTGGCTACTGCTATAATCTAGGTTGAGACAGCTTACCTAGATTGATCTAGGCTGATGGCTGTGGAAAACAGGATAAAGACATTCCAACTTAATTCTAGTTTCCAGAACTCATGTTAATCTTTCTCATCTGGGGATTTGCAGTTAAACCTTCTGCTTAGAAAATTCTTCCTCATTGTTCAATTTCCACCTATGAGTAAGAACACGCGGTGTTTGGTTTTCTGTTCGTGTTTAGTTTGCTAAGAATGATGGTTTCCAGCTTCATCAACGTCCCTGCAAAGGACATGCATTCATCCTTCTTCATGGCTATATTCCATGGTGTATATGTGCCACATTTTCTTTATCCAGTCTATCATTGATGGGCATTTGGGTTGTTCCAAGTCTTTGCTATCGTGAATAGTGCTGCAATAAGCATACATGTGCATGTATATTTAAAAAATGATTTATAATCTTTTCGGTATATGCCCAGTAATGGGACTGCTGGGTCAAATGATATTTCAGGTTCTAGATCCTTGAGGAATCGCCACACTTTCTTCCACAATGGTTGAACACATGGACACATGGAGGGGAACCTCACACACAGGGTCTTGTCGTGGGGTGGGGGGCTAGGAGAGGGATAGCTTTAGGAGAAATACCTAATGTAGATGACGGGTTGATGGGTGCAGCAAACCACCATGGCACATGTATACCCATGTAACAAAACTTCACATTCTGCACGTGTATCCCTGAACTTAAACCGTAAGAAACAAATAAATGAAAGTTCTTCCTCACCCTTCTTGCCTAGCCCTTACTTTTCCTTTTGATTTCAGTACAGATGTGATTTCCTCTGGGAAACATTTCTTATGCCTCAAGAGCAGCTTGACTTCCCTGTGTGGCTATGGCCTCCTGTGCTTATCTGTATCAAGTAACGTCTTGCAATTATTTACCCGTATCCCAGTTTCTTAACAGTGGCATTGACATTCTGGATTAGCTAATTCTTAGTTGTGGGGGACTGTCCAACAAATAAGTTATTTGGCAGTATTCCTGGCCTCTACCCCCTAGATGCCAGTAGTACTCACCCTTTTCCTTCCTCCCACCTGTATAGTTGTGTTTGCCAAAATCATGTCTCCAGACATTGTCTTATGTCTCCTGGGGGCCAAAACTGCCTCCAGGTGAGAACCACTGACCTAGAAAAATGTATCATTTCCTAACAATTGCCCTACCTCTGGACATTTAGGTTGTTCCCATGTTTACTACAGATTTGAGATTAATGTTATATGCGTGAATCATCAATAATTCCAAAAAGTGAACTAAAAGGGTACATAAATCATACCAATCTTACATTTCCGTCTGTAGTTCCTGCATAGTAGATTCACCGTAACTTTTCAGTACTGAGCTTTCTCACATTAAAAAATACAAGGTCCACTCATTACAATTTTAAAAAAAATGAAACTCTTCTGGTTTATTTCGCTATCAGTGAGGATGGGCATCTTTTGAAGTATTTTACTTAATGTCTTTGTTTTTTAAATGGCTAGACTTCAAACTCTTCCAAACTCACAAAAAAATTCTAACACTTCTCAATTAAAATTCAAATGTTAGTGTTTACCATGTACAGTACTGTGGTCAGGGTACTAGGTGATAGATACTATAGTAAAAACAGAAATGGTGTCTGCTTTGAGAGTTTACATTCTAGAGAGGCATGGTCCAATATGATAGCCACCAGCCACAAGTGGTCATTGAATACTTGAACTGTGGCAAGTTCAAATTGAGAAGTGCACTGTAAGTGAAAAATAGGTGCTTGGTATGGGGAAAAAATATGAAATACCTAACTTTATACTGGCATGTCCATATGATAGGTTAGATATACTGGGTTAAATAAAACATGTTTCTGAAATTAATTTTGAATATACATATATATTTTTTATATATTGAAAATATCTTTTAACCAGTCAAGTGACTCTCTTAATATATTTTAAATGTTAAAGAATAGTGGGCAAAGCACAGGCACATTTGGTGGTCAATTTTTGTTAATTTTCTCTACTTATCTATCTTATCTATCTATCTATCTATGTATCTATCTATCTATCATCTATCTATCTAAAAGGAGACAGGATCTCACTCTGTTGCCCAGGCTGGAGTGCAGTGGCATGATCACAGCTCACGGCAGCCTCAAACTCCTGGGCTTAAGCAATCCTCCTGCCCCAGCCTCTGGAGTAGCTGGGATTACAGGTGCAAGCCACAATACCCAGCTCATTTAAAACATTTTTTATAGAGATGGGATCTCACTTTGCTGCCCAGGCCGGTCTCAAACTCCTAGCCTCAAGTAATCCTCCTGCCTCAGTGCTTGGGATTACAGGCATGAGCTACCACATCTAGACCACAAATAGTTTTTAAACTGTTCAAAATATTTAAAAAACATGTATGTAAAAGAACCTTGAAGTAACATTTATCAGCCACACCAGTTTCACAAAATCAGGTATTGCTACCTACTAGGTTGGTGCAAAAGTAACTGCGGTTTTTGCCATTAAACGTTAAAATGGCAAAATAAATAACTTTTGCACCAACCTATTAGTATGTATCAAACTGTAGAAAATTTCACTTTTAATTTTAAAAAATCTAACATTTATTTTGATGCTTACACTACAGTTTTACTCTAAATTAATGTTCCTTAAGTTAAATCACATTTAAGCAAAAAATTAGAAACTGGTTGGTTTCTACTTCCCCTATCAAGTTAAAACTCATTTACTTACACTTTTGTACTTCAGAAATGTGTCATCTCTACTTAAGGACACTACTATACAATAATCACAGCTATGAAGAATGAGATGAATCTAATGTATTAAGATGTCATAGATGATGTGAAAAAAGGCAAGTTATAGAATAGTGCATAAAGCAGAAACTATTTTACAGCCACATTTGTGTGTTCCTGTATGTACATGTGCATAGCACAAGACTGGGAAGAAAAATACCAAGTGTTTTTTAGTTGTAGATGGTGAGGAAGTTCTTTCATATTTCACATAATACACTTTTAACTCTTCTGTATTTTTTTATTGTTTCAATTGGGACATTTTTTAATTTACAAAAAGAATTTTAAAAACACGACAAAGATTGCCAATAAATACATTTTCATCACAAATTTAAAGGAACTTTTAAACTTTCCTCAGAAGCCATCATCTCCACAATCTTTTAAAACCTTTTATGATTGTGACAAAAAAAAGTATAAAAATTAAAATATACAAAACTGAAAACTGTTCGACTGTAACATTTCAGAGACTTATTTATTAAATTTTCTTTAGTACACGATTCTCATCTTAGTTGAGACAGGGTCCAGCTCTGCAGCCCAGGCTGGAGTGCAGTGGCATGATCTCGGCTCACTGCAACCTCCACCTCCTGGGTTCAAGCAATTCTCCTGCCTCAGCCTCCCAAGTAGCTGGGACCACAGGCGTGTGCCACCACACCGGGCTAATTTTTATATTTTTTGTACAGAGGGAGGTCTCACTATGATGCCCAGGCTGGTCTCAAACTCCAGGGCTCAAGCGATCCTCCCACCTCAAACCTCTCGAAGTCCTAGGATTACAGGTGTGAGCCACCTTGCCTGGCCTTAGAGAGACTTTTTTTTGAGACAGAGTCTTGCTCTGTCGCCAGGCTGGAGTGCAGTGGCGTGATCTCGGCTCACCGCAACCTCTGCCTTCCAGGTTCAAGCTATTCCCCCGCCTCAGCCTCCTGAGTAGCTGGGACTACAGGCGCATGCCACCACGCCTGGCTAATCTGTATTTTTAGTATAGACGGGGTTTCACCATGTTGGCCAGGATGGTCTTGATCTCCTGACCTTGTGATCCACCTGCCTCAGCCTCCCAGAGTGATGGAATTACAGGCGTGAGTGACCATACCTGGCCTACAGAGACCAGAGACTTTTAAAAGCAAAACTAGTTCCTGTGATGGAAAAGGGTGCTCTTCTCTAGATCTGAAATTTGACCCGACTGACAATTATAGGAAATACTTGGGTCAGTAAAACAACACATGGTCTGTTGCCCACCGAGCAGCTATCTTCCAAACTCCCTACAAACTCCTACCCACTAACTTCATCCAGAACCTGGAAGTTGTTCCCCTTTTTCCGAGCAGCTATTCATCAAGGGGAGATCATTTTTAATTTCAAGGGCAGGTCTTCATGGTCTGAGCCAATCATAGGAGCTTTATTCCCTTTGAAAAGTGATTGCTTTGGAGATAATACACATTTTGCTGTGGCCATGAGAGCAAGTGAATGGGGGCAGGTGAAACCTTCCTCTTATAAAAAAGAAAAAAAAAAGATATTTCAGCCTCTTATCATCCACCACCTGGAACCTTTGTGGTCACTTTGGAGCCATAAGGGGAGACATCAGACTCACTTGTTAAGAATGGCAATGAAAGGCAGAAGGTACTAAGGCTCTTGATGACACTGTTCAGCTGCTGAATTAGCCAATCTAGGAACTGCCCTCCACCTAGACTCCTGGTTCTCAAGCACCTCAATCCCAAAGATTCTACAACTGTTTTTGATTGCTAAAATAATCCAGACATATAATTTGAGGAAATAAAACGTTTATTGAGTAAATGTTTATTTAGTAACAGCAACACATAGTTTCTCAAGAAGAGGATGAACTGAAAACTCCTCTAAGGCAGGACGAAGCAACTTTCCATTATTCTTAGTTTAGACCAGAATCTTTAATTTTATATTCTCCTTTAATAACTGTCAAAATACACCAAATACTTAGAGGAAAATATTCACAGTATACCAAAACATTTTAAGATAAAGAGCAGTGTAAGAGTAGTATTCTCTACATACCACAGTATACAATGATGCCTTCCTGCAGGTTTAGAACTATTACTACTCAAAATATTAATACATTTATGCAAAATGATTGAGAAAATTGAAATACCTGCAACCTTTTCCAGTTTGACTTCAGGAACAGGTGCAAACCACCATCCTCTTCACAGATCTTCTGTTACGGCAACCATCAAAAACCATTGGTTCAGCTCTCAAATACTGATGACAATGCATGTGATGCATGCGTGCTCTGCTAAGTTTTGAACAGATAACATATTCTACAGCAATGCTCAAGCCCTGGATTATTTTTGCCTGACAAAAATAATATTCCAATATTCCCTGAAGAGGTTTTATAAAAAGGTTGAAAATGGCTGTTTTTCATAGTCAAAGCCAATTTCCTTTATTTTTTGAGACAGGGTCTCGCTCTGTCACCCAGGCTGGAGTGCAATGGTGCAATCTTGGCTCTCTGCAGCCTCAAACTCTTGCACTCAAGCAATCCTCCTGCCTCAACTTCCTGTGTAGCTAGGACCGCAGGCAAACACCACCACATCTGGATAATTTTTTAATTTTTTTGTAGAGATGGGGTCTCACTTTGTCACCTAGGCTGGTCTCAAACTCTTGGGCTCAAGCGATCCTCCTGCCTCGGCCTCCCAAAGTGCTGGGATTACATGCATGAGCCACCACACCCAGCCAATTTACTTTTTAATAGAATATACACTGTTGAATTCTATCTTCATGATTTTTTACAAGAGGTTGCTATAGTGTGCTATGTGTGTAAATATTCAGATCCTGTATATAAACTAATCAAAGGCTCCATGTCAGTTCTTAAGTTTGATATTTAAATGTCTGACCAGGGACCCTCCAAATAGTATTCACAGTATTAAAGGTGAGATAAATTTTCATTTCTATTTTTTCCTATCTTTTCAAAGTCCCATTAAACATCTGAAATTATTGGTAGAAATGAGGTGATAATAAATATTTTCTATTTAAGTCTGACATTGATTTGCAATCCATTTTAAACTGTTACATCTAATATGCTATTCTGTTTTTCTCATGAGTCTTTAATTGCTGGATATTTGAATAACACATTAATTTTTTAAAAAAAAATTTTCTGGTACCATTTTTAGACTTCTGTCTTTATATAATTTAGTTTGTAAAACCTAGTTTCATGTTTAATGAATTAAGAAACAACATCAGAACAGTTTAGCCAGATTTTAATAGGCAAAAAAGGGTTGCTTTGGCAATGGATAAAAGAATAACTGTTATAATACAAATCTTTATTTAATCTACTTTATTAAATATTAAAATGCAATAAGGCAATTATTGTTTTTAAGACACTTGAAATTGCATTTAATAAATGGATAACTGGCCCCACACCTGACATATTGCACCCCTACTTTTCTTCTCTACTCTAAGGAACCAAAAAAATTATTTTAAAAAACAAATCAGTGGTCTTTCTAAAAACATCTCAAAGAGGTTCTGACTACTACTAAGGTATTTATTAAATACAAATATCTGAAAAATAAGACAGCCAATAATATCTTTTAAGGTATTTCTGCTGTCTTTTGTTCTCTTAAATCTACTCAGAATGGTTCAACTGAAAGTATCCCAACTGAGGAATAAATAGGTGTAATTTATTGCTTAATTTGCCATCCAAGGCAGGGCAGTGATTCCCAAACCTGGCCTCTCGTCAGTATCATCTGCGAAAACTGCTGCAACACATTCCTTGGCCCCCTTCAGACCTAATGAAGCAGTCCCCTCCACTTCCAACCTCCACTGGGGAATATGTAGTTAGTCTTGCAGTCTAACACTTGGGATGGCTAAAACAATAAAGTTAAAAAGGAAGATACTTGTATTTCCACAGGTCCTAGCTCACAAACTGGGATCCACTAAAAAAAAAAGACATAAAATGTTGAATTGGCACTAAATGATCAGTGAGTAGGGTGATTGGGAAACAACTCTAGTACTAACAAACCAAATACAGCAGGCCCTGCTGCCCCATTCCATGGAAGTCAGCACCTTTCCTGACCCCAGAGAGCCCAGGCAAGCAAACTGATGTAGTGTGAGGGCTACAACTCAAAAAGTAAATGTTTCCACACCATTTCTCTCCATCTCTACTTCTCAATTTTCCATACACTCATTCCATCTTTTCTCTTACTCTGCCCTTTGCCATCCCCATTCTTACTCCTTTCTCTTTCCTCACCCCTTTTCTCACTTCCTCTCTTTTCCTTCTTTTTTGATTTAGTTACATCATTCTTTTCTTCTCTACTTTCTCTTCCTGAAAAACTCTTCCTTACATAAACAAATTCATACTGGAGATATATGTCAGAAAACATTCAGCCTGAGTAAACTGAACGCTCTGTACAGAAAACAACGAACAAAACAGAACTTCAACAGTAACACTGGCGTGGCATAATATAAGCCACGCAAAATGCTTCCAAATCCATTATCTCTTCTGAGTTTCATCTTGTGAGGTTTGAAGGGTACACTGATTGTACTTAAAAACCTAAGGCACAGAGAAGGGTAAATAACATGCCTGAGTTACTAAAAAGAGAATCCAGATCTAGTTCAAAATCTGGTCTTCTTTTCACTATACCAATAACATCTGACTGGAGGCAAGATGAGAGAGCAATGAGTAAGCACTAATGTTATTTCAGGGCCTTAAAACCCTTATATATTATGAACTACTCTTCATTAGAAAAAAGTATGCATTTTCTTAAAGCATAAATCACAATATATATTTTTAAAGGTTTCCCAAGTTCTTTTCTACTTCATACAAATGAAGTTTGACTGCATTTTAAAGGCATCCCACTTTGGTAATACTGTAGCCCAGAGATAGTTCTGAGGTCAGAATACATAGACTCAAATAATAAATCATGTAGTTTATATAAACTGCATAGATACACTATGTTTTATGAAAGACCATTTATATGAAGATGGAATACGTTCTCTAAGTTGTCCATCTATAATTTAACCTCTCATCAACTCCAAGAACTGCATTTCTTTAGAATTCAAAAGAATTACCTTGTCTAAAGATAAATTCAGAAAATTCATTTAAAAATTATTATACATATTTTGTGATACCTTTAATTTTAGGTAGAAACAGTACCCAAAAGACAGTTTTCACTATAATTCAATTTATGGTAAAATGATCAATTAGGTCAGGTCTAAATAAACCAGATGAAGAACCTTCCAACTGATCCACAATGTAGTGTGTGTGACAGTGTAAATAAGCCACAACATGAGTGAGACCACAGCATACAGTCCAGTTGGATTAAACTGTGACCACGCTCTACACAAGTCCCAATCAATTAGAGCCCATGGGGCTGAGATTCTCCGTTCACTGAGGAAATTTTATCTTATCAAACTTACTAATATAAATTCATATCCTGTCATTAACCCCAAATGCTTCCTCTAATATTTCAAAATCACATTTATAATCCACCAAACGTGCCAAGAATTGTGGTATCCTAACTTGAACTTTCAAGTTGGCAAAATAATTTCCAGTGGTTCTCAAAGTAGCTAACATCAAAGTCATCTGAGGTGATTGTTAAAAACGAAATCATCATGTGACTTATATTCTGTTGATTCTAACAAACCAACTAGAAGATGATTTTTGAGATAATCAGGGAAATTTGCTTAAGGACTGGCTATGAGATGAAGCCGAAGGACTGCTGCTGCCTCTGTTAGGTGTGATATCGTGGTATCTACCCAAAGTGTTCACAGCAGTGAAATAACACAATGTATGGGATTTTAAGATACTTAAGCAAACAAAAAAATGACAAATGAAGCAAACATGGTAAGATAGTGATAAGTGTCAGATCTGGATGTTGAGTACCAATGCACTATTCTAGTTTTGTGTAATTTTTAAATTTCTTCATTAAAAATTGTTTTACAGACTCCCTCCTAGACACAGCATGCCAGAGTCTCCAAAGGCCTAGCTCAGGAATCTATTCTTAAGCTCCCAACAAGAATCTTACATAGTCAGGCAGGCAATGATCATTATTTGAGGACCATTAGAAATGATCTAATACATACCCTCCAAACTTCACATTTTTAGTATTCTCATTTTCTACTCAGTAAGCTCAATTTCACAGTTTCTTATATTCACCATGGCATTCTGCCAAGGAACTACAACTCGTGTTCTCTAAACCCATCTGTTCTAAGAATGCTGGACTGGTTATCAACTTCTAATGCACCCTGCTTAAACTTTCCTCTCTCAATTTGTCCCTGACTGAACTGCAGACGACAGAACAACTGTACTAACCATCTCTTTCTGCATATTCCATGTCTCCACAGAGGTCACTGTGTCTTCACAAAGCTAACTGCCACAATTTTCACAGGTTGTATTTTTCCTTCATGATTTTCCATTTTCTACTTGAGCATTAAAATATCAGGGAGAAAAAGAAGATAACCATATAGATAATCATATTGTTGGTAAAATAAGATATGTGCCCCAGCATAGTATATGCTAAGTATTCAGAATCTATAGTTATATTAGCTAACAGGTCAAGAATGCCAAAGAAGTAATTTCTCAAGATTTAAAAAAATTAACTGTCTTAGGTGATATTCAAAAATGCACATCAACCCAATTAAAACCACATTTTCTACAGCTGGATGTAACAATCTTATTCCAAATCATCCACTTAAGTTGTTTAACTTACTTAAAGTAAGGCTCTAGACATTTGCTTCTTCAAAAGTATCTTGCAAGGCCGTTATGAGGTAGAAGACAAGTTTAAATGGACCATATTTTTCTACTCCATTGTAACTAAAATTACTACTCACAGGAAGTATATAGCTTATGCATTTTGGTCCATCACACTTTCCACCATCATGAGTATACTCTTAAGGTTCTCACTTTACCATCAGCATAATATATTTTGCTTCCAGAATGCCCAGTAAAGCTGACGTTTTTCATTTAAAGTGATTAAAAAAAAATTCCCCAAATATCTATTTAACAATCTTAGATCTGAGTTTTGGCAAGACAGTTTAATGCATACAAAATGAAACACTACATTTCTCACTCTCTCTCACACACAAACACGCACACACAGATTAAAATCCCAAAGTTTTCACTATTTTTCCTCTACCTTACACAGCTCAATTTTTAACATGCAGCTTACTTGTAATCTAAAAATAATTTTAAACATGATTGTCATAAAAATATTTTAAAACAGAGATGAAATGTATAAAGGCACACATAGATTGTCAATGGTTACATCAGTTACATCACATTTCTTCAGAAACAACAGACCTGTTTCTGCTCCTGTAAACAAACTTTTTTCTCACACTTTTAAAGTGAGGTTAGTGCTGACATAAAATTATTGCTCTACTCACAGTCTTGAGTGTTGGCACTGTTTGAGGTACATTTTCTCCATCTACACACCCCTACCACTCTTGAGAGTATGAGTCAACAGAAGTCTGCAGGTTAAACCCATTCAATAGTATTTTCATCAATACTGGAATGATAGCAAGTAACATTACAAAACATCAGAGATAAAAAATGTTCAATGTTGAGGCCCAAGATTTTAACTTATTCTTCATTACCTGAAAATACTGCTTACTTAACTTCTTTAGGAAAAAAAAAATTATTCTGGAGATGAGTAATTCCTTCCTGAATACTTCATCCAAGACGATTCCTTCACACTTATCTTCTGATTCTTTGTTTTCATCCATTTGATTAAGCAGTCACCAAGAATCACTTTTCCTTTGGTGATCTGGCATAACGATCTCTTACACTTTTTGCTAGTTGTTTGATAAATATTTTGTAAATTTTTCCACAGTATGTATGCACTGTTTTTTGTAGTTCCAGTTCTAAAGGTTTTAATAAGGAACGGATGTTGTCATCTTCAAAAGAACACTAGAGAAAGAAAATTTTAAAAAATAAAAAATTTAAAAGGCAAAGGTACATATGTAAGTTCAATTATTTTCCAAACTTCTTCAATCAGTTTAATATGAACGATCTCCATTTAACGTCTCACAGAAATTAGATGTTTAACAAATATTTTCAATAAATTAAACAGAACTATTATCTCCCATTAAAGAAAGACAGCCATGGTAAATCTCCGGGGGAATCCTGGAGAACATGCGCAAGGGCAGAGAAGACTGAAATACTGGTTAAGAAGACAACCAAAAGCCCTACGAGTATCTCGGTGAAACTAATAAAAGGTGGACTGGCTAAAAGAAGAGCTTTACCACACACCACACCCGCGTCCCACCTTTTAAAAACCACTCTGGCAATAATACTGCTGAGGCTGGAATGGAAGGAAATGAAGTAAAGGCATATGGTGGGAGGAATGTAAGATGATAACATAGTTCAGCATGTCCCACAGAACCCTAACTGCACAGAAGGATCCCAACAATAAACACATTTGAAAACTGCTAAATATTAGGCACTCTTCATGGGGATTCAGACTAGCACAGGAAAAAGTCTAAAAAGTAAAACAGAAAATAAATCTGTTGAGTGTTGTCTGACCTGTTTGTCCCAAGATATATTTTTGGCTAGAGTCCTTCTTTTACTATAAAATATACTAATATCGAGAAATAAATTTTGGAAAAGGCTGTGGTAGTAAAGTGGAAATAATAAGTAATCTTTGTATTTTCAACCAGGTATTTTGTGATTTAGTATTTTCAACTAGGTGTATTTTCAATTAGAAAGATGGATGGGGCTTAAAAGTAGAACATTTTATATGGAAGTTGAAGTTGGTGAAAAATGCAAAATCACAAAGGAAATTCAGAACCAGAAATCTCCCAGGTTATCCCTGAGGTTCACTAGCACGCTGAGGGAGAGGAAATGAAAGAACCACCCCAAGCACACTTAGTGAGTCTGCAGGAAGCTGCAGTCAATCTACAGAGAAGAGGATGAACTTGGATGTTTGTTTAAAACATGGGTTTTGTCACTGTAGAGATGCAAAGAGATCCTAAACTTTGGCATCTTTTGAGCAAGAAAAACTGTAAGCATTAACTGCATAAAACCATCACCCTTGGAGTGATTTTTAAAAATCAATCACACATACTCAAGATAAACGTCTAAAATTGTTTTGAAGATAAAAGTTTTAAAAAGAGATGGGGAAACTTAGCCAGGAACAATGTAATAAAAATAACAATAGCACACAGAGTGCTTGCTACCTACATGCCAGGCACCATTCTAAGAGTTGTATATGACTGCATGTTCTCATTCATAGGTGAGAACTGAACAATGAGAACACATGGACACAGGAAGGGGAACATCACACATCGGGAACTGTTGTGGGGTGGGGGGAGGGGGGAGGGATAGCATTAGGAGACATACCTAATGTAAATGACGAGTTAATGGGTGCAGCACACCAACATGGCACATGTATACATATGTAACAAACCTGCACGTTGTGCATATGTACCCTAGAACTTAAAGTATAATAAAATATATATACATATAAAAGAGTTGTATATGTATTAACACATTTATAATATAGGTAATATTATCTCCATCTGACAATGAAACAACGAAGGCAAGGAGAGAGGATTTTCTCAGTTATAAATGCAGTAAGTGGTTAAGCCAGGATTCCGTCCCAACAGTCTAGCTCCAAAAGTCCATGCACTTAATTAACCACCAGACAGCACTACTTATCCAAACATTAAGCAAACAACACCATGCCAAGTCAGTTCAAAAATCCTGTTGAAGGACGAAGCTCAATGAATGGTGGAAATCTGGGGAAAGTGCTGTATTGTAAACAGATACACAAATTTGTTTGGGGTTAAAAGTGTAGCCAGGTTGAAGAAGGTAAACTTCACCAAGTGATACTTTCAAGAAATATTTCAATGTGCACAAAAAACACTTGAACAACTGGTTGAGTGGCAGAAAATTATGGGAAGCCCAAACTACTATGATCATTATTTTTACTATATGACAATAAAATGAAAGCATTTAAGAATAGAGGAAGACTATTGATTCCCAGGAGTATGTAGTACTCGAGATTAAGTTTCTTTGTTTTCATGTGATTCAAATCCCAGTGTTTGTGGTTAAAAAATGTTTTCTTCTTCACTGGAAAAAAAAAGCCATTTGATGAATATTTTCTTAAATAAAAACAGTGTCTCATTAGTTAGACCTCTTTCTGCCCATCATATGAAAAAAGCAATCTGACCTCTAAGGAAGAAGATAAATTTCCAAAATTTCCACCTATATAAACATAGCCTAAAGACACTGCATTCTTCCATTTACATAATCTGCAGTGCCTGCATATTTGTACAGTACATAACCTACATCTAGGTGTCCCTTTCCCAGAGGCCACACGTGCCCTTACCTGACTCCAGACCTCTTTTTATACTATATACTATGCCTGACTTATCCTTACCTTTTCTTCTCTGCCTGGTACTCATCATCCTTACAGCTTAGTTCAAATGTCAGCTCCTCTGAGAAGCCTTTCCATGTACAGTTAATCGTTCCCTCTTTTCAGTGGCACAGGGCCCAGTACACTGATTTTTAGGAAGCTCATGCTTTATACTGTCAGTTGAACGACATGAAATAGTGAAGCTGTGATGACCATAATTAGGCAATTTGAGGTATTTTCAAAGAATAGTACATCTTTGGAAAATACAGGAGAATGGCAGTTCAATCCAACAAATCCTAAGTGTTCACTATATGCAAGTCAGTACTATGGGAAGGAAAACATTCAAGACTGCTTTGCAGAGAGTTTTGCAAATATAAGCAAGGTGTAAAGTAAATCAAAGTTAACACAAAACATCAAGAAATATAATTCAGAATGAAATGCATGATGCAGAAAATACCTTATAGAGCCATAAAATGTTTTGTTCTGATTTTGAATTTGTAATTTTTAAACATTTTTATTCACTCAACAACTAATATTTAACAAATATGCATGGACTATAAAAACAGATTTGCTGGTAGACATAGCCATGAATTCACACTTTAAAGATGGTTCACATCCTTTATAATTCATACTGTTCACTGCATTCCATGGCTATGACTAAGCCTCTGTCTGAAACTTGCATAAATATCCTTGTCTGAATACAATTCTTTTAAAAATTACACTTCTTACTGAATTACAGATAAGGAAATATAAAAACACTAAGCAGGAGCATCATAAAAGACAGATTAACTTCATTAAGTTGAAAAATGAATAAATGTAAGCTGTAGTTAACACAGACCCAAAACAAACACAGAAGATAATTAATCATCTGAAATCCTTTTAAAAATAAGATTTTTTTAAAAAAAAATCAAGTGTAATTAATCAACTTAAAACTATTACTCGTATTTTTAAAGGTACACACTTATAAACCAAAGAAAAGATCAAATAAAACCAGGGAAACTTAATTCTCTAATAGTAGATTTTTTTTAATACTCAAAGGAAACAAAGGAAATCTCATTTTTATAGGAATGCATTTCTTTTCTATCCTGCAAAGTCTCAGAACCCCACAAGCACTTTTCTTCATTTTTATCACCTTCTGACAACCCATAATAAAGCATTATTAAAATACAGTATTAATTTCTGAAGGCATACAAAGCCTGCTACATTAAAATGAACATCAACACTAAATTTTATAATTCATCAGTGAGTATAGTCATACCATGATAAACTGATTGTTTAGAAGCTGTATCTGTCAAGTTTATAGGACAAGAAACTTAGCTACTAATACACTAGAACTGTAGCCTACAATGCTGTTAGCATTTTGTCTACCACCAAGTTTAAGAAACAGATTTCTGGGAGAAAACTTTAATTCCTTTTCATGGTAGATCATCACCTTAACATGGCATACCACCTCCACATCCACTTCATTTCGGCCCCTGCTGACTTTCATCCATCACTCCAGTCACACTGAACAGATGGATGCCTGACCTCTCCGTGGATCTTTTCACAGCCTCTGAACCTTTTTCTCAGGCAGTTGTCAGCCCAGACTGCCTCCACCCACCTGGAAAACTCTTACTCATTCTTCAGGGCCCACTTCAAAAGCCTCCTCTTCAAGGAGGCATTCCCTGGCCCTTCAAGGCAAAACTGAGACACTCTTTCACAGTTCTAGAACAATCTCTGTCACCATGGATTATAGTGAAGTGTTTTTATTCTCACTGCTATTGATGAGGCTACATAGACCAGAGGATTTCAGTCACTAACAAATAATGAGAACTTAGGAAACGGGGGTCATCAGCTTTTCTCCTGACCCCCACATTTAAACTAAAGTAGCACTCATATTATTTGCTTTGTTTCCACCCACGTAAGATTAAACAGTGTAGTAGAACAGACAGCATATCTAAATGAGAGTTGAGTGATCACATGTATTAATACTTCTTCCTTAGTAGCAGTGAAATAGCTAACATGGATAGTGATACAGCTTGTTAAGTAACAGCATAAATCCAAACCTCCCCTGGATTTGCCCCAAGTCTTGGTCCTTAACATTCACAGAGATCTGGTTCATGCATCCACCTAGAGGTATATGAAGTATTAATCATGTCCCCCATCAATCCACCCCAATTACATAAAAGGGGACTAATAAGAACAAGAAGAAAAGAGAAAACAGACAACTGGGGGATGGGGGAGAGAGGGGCAGTATAATTTTTTTCCAAACTCATTATAAAGCAAATGCTTAAAAGACAAAACTTTATTTACAAAAGCAACAAAAAGACAATACTTAAGCATAAACTTAAGTTATATTCAAAACCTGTAGCAAAAAAAACTGTAAAGCAGGGGTGTCCAATCTTTTGGCTTCCCTAGGCCACACTGGAAGAATTGTCTTGGACCACACATAAAATACACTAACGCTAACAATAATGAGCTAAGAAAAAAAAAATCACAAAATAAATGTCATAATGTTTTAAGAAACTTTATGAACTTGTGTTGGGCCATGTTCAAAGTCATCCTGGGCTGCATGCGGCCCACTGGCCACAGGTTGGACAGGCTTGCTATAAAACATTCCTAAAAGACAAATGTAAAGACAGCTCTTGTTCTTGGTTAGGATGTCTCAACACCATCAAAACGTTAGCAGTCCCTAATATACGAAGCTAATATACTCCTAATAAAAATATCAATTTTTCTGAGATGAAGTTTCGCTCCTTTTGCCCAGGCTGTAGTGCAATGGAGCGATCCTGGCTCACTGAAACCTCCACATCCCAGGTTCAAGCGATTCTCTTGCCTCAGCCTCCCAAGTAGCTGGGATTACAGGCACGTGCCACGATGCCTGGCTAATTTTTGTATTTTTAGTAGAGACAGGGTTTCACCACTTTGGTGGCCAGGCTGGTCTCGAACTCCTGACCTCAGGTGATCCGCCCGCCTCAGCCTCCCAAAGTGCTGAGATTACAGGCGTGAGCCACTGTGCCCGGCCTAAAAATACCAACAAGTTTTTAACTTTTTAATGGAGTTGATACTTATAGAAAAATAAATATACAATAGCTAGGAAAACACTGAAAAAAACAGGCTATAAAGAGGGAGTAGCCCCATCAGATATTAAAACACAGCAAAGCACCTTTATAATTAAAATAGTGTGCTATTAGTGTACAAATGAACTGACCAATGGAACAAAACAGAAAATTCAGAAATTACAAATGGAATTTATGATAATGTCAGTATCTGAAATCTTCTGGTTAAAGACAGCCTTTTAATTTATTTTATTTTTTAGAGACAAAGTCTTACTATGCTGCCCAGGCTGGTCTCAAACTGCTGGGCTGAGGGAGTTGCCTCAGCTGGTCTTGAATTCCTGAGCTTGCCCACCTTGGCCTCCCAAAGTGCTAGGATTACAGATATGAGCCACTGCGCCCAGCCAAAGATAGATTCTTAAGTAAATGGTGTAGAGACAAAAGGATAGCCATTTGGAAAAGAGTCAAATAGTATCTATTCCTCACCCAATACAAAAGAGTAAATAAATTCCAAACACAGCAAAGGTCTGAATGTAATAAATGAAACAGCATATGGGTGAATTATCCTATAACCTGTTCTGTAACCCAAGTGTAGACTGGAAAAAGCTTGCTGATTACAACTTTAAAAAAAAAAAAGGGGGGTGTTAGGCTAGGTGTGGTGGGTTATCCTGGTAATCCCAGCACTTTGGGAGGCCAAGGATTGCTTGAGCCCAGGAATTCAAGACTAGCCTGAGCAACATGGCAAAACCTCATCTCTATAAAAAATACAAAAATTAGCCAAGCCTGGTGACATGCACCTGTAGTCCCAGATATTTGGGAGGCTGTGGGAGGATCAACTGAATCCAGAAGGTCAACGCTGCAGTAAGCTGTGATCACACTACTGCACTCCAGCCTGGGTGACAAGAGCATAACCCTGCCTCAAAAAAAAAAAAAAAAAAAGATGAGGCTGGGCTTGATGACTCATGCCTGTAATCTCAGCCACTATGGAGGCTGACGGTGGCAGACTGCTTCAGCTCGGTAATTCAAGACCAGCCTGAGAAACACAGCAACATCCCCATCTCCATAAAAAATACATATGTTAGCTGAGTGTGGTGGCACGTGCCTGTAGTACCAGCTACTTAGGAGGCTGAGGTGGGAGGATCGCTTGAGTCCAGGGGGCAGGGGTTACAATGAGTCAAGACTGTGCCACTGCACTCCAGCCTGGGTGACAGAGCAAGACCCAGCAGTGAAAAAAAAAAAAATTGATAAACTTATTACATGAAAAATATTATACAAACTGAATGGCATCAAATACCATAAATAAGTCAAATTGGTAGAAAAATATTCACAATGTATATCACAGGAAAAGTACTAATATTCCTAACATACAAAGAACTTTTAACAATTAAAGGGAGGAGAGGGCAAGAAAGCCCAAACGCCCTCATGGTAATAATGATGGTTGTACAATTCTGCAAACATGCTAAAAGCTACTGAATTATATATTTGAAATGGGTGAACTTTGTGGTATATAAATTATGTTTCATTAGTTATTTTTAAAAAACTATAGAAGAATAGGAGAAATATTTAAAAGAAAATTCACCCCCAAAAAGATATAAAAATATTTCATAAATATATAAAAAGATTAAACTTCACTCGTAAGAGAAATGCAAATTAAAACTACACTAAGATACCATTTCTCACCCATCAGAATGACAAAATTTTAAAAGCTTGATACTATACTCTGTTGACGAGGATGTGGGGAACAGACTGTCTCACAAATCATTGGCAGGAATACAAACAATCCCTATGGAGGAACACAGGTAATAATTTCAATCCAATAATCCCACTTCTAGGAATTTACCATGAAGATTCACCTTCCAACAATACAAATATATATATATGACACAGCTAACTGTACATTGCTGCATTATTTATAATTCAAGCTATTGGAAACTACCAAAATGTCCAAACATAGAGAATGGCTGAATAAACTCTGGTACATACATAAAGTACCATACAGTTTAAAAAAAAAAACTGAGGAAAATATCTCCAGAATATTTTAAATATAAAAAGCAAAGAATGAATGAAGATATACACTAAGCTACCTTTTGTGTAAGAAAATGGAAATTACAGAACATACATACATCTGCTCATCTTATTAAAAACACAGGAAGGATAAACCAGAAAACAATGAAATTGGTACCCGATAGAGGTAGGGGGCAGTTAGGATAAACGGGCTAAGATAACAGGTTACATCTGAGTAAACCCTTATGTTATTCTGACTTTGTGAAGTATATTAATATCCCCCTATCAAAAAATGCAATTATATCAACAAAGATAGTGGAAAAAAGCTAAAACTGAAAGCATACGGAAACGAATGAATCCAATTGTATTTCAAATAAATAAAATAATCACACTGAAAGATCGGAAAAAAAGAACTAACCCAAGTAACTTCTGAATACAGTATTGAGTACACACCCTTGTCTGGGAGCAGGGGAGAGGAAGAGGAAGGACTGAAAACAAATCCTAAGCCATTTTTAGTAAGCTGGTTTGGGGGTGGAGACAATGGTATGAAAGGAACATTTCTGAAATTATTTTAAATGACTGTAAGATTAAGCAAATGACAAAATGTGTTGATGACAGAAGTCAGGATTCTAACTGTGGAAGAAAGAAGATATAATATAGAGTAGAAGAAAGGAAGAGCCTTGGAAGAATGGCATGGAATTAGAGAATCAGGTGTGAACACATTAACATCATGTGTGCACGCTTATACTTCCTAGCTCTGCCACTGAAAAAGCTCAAAAGCAATGAGACCCTGGTAGCAATAAACATGCCTAATATCCAGAGCCTACTAAAGGGAACCAGAGCTCCTTTGACAGATGACTAATTTCAACAGTAGGGCAGGGAAAGTATAAAATAAACCTGGAATATTTTGTTGGAACAGAAAATAAAAGAGGTACTCAAAAAAAGTGATGAGGACATGTCAAAGGGACACAAGAAGTAGCCAATGGGGCTCCCAATGGCCATACCTGGAACAACTTTAGCATTAACATAATTAGAAGGAAAAATGAATTATAAATCATTGGAGGAACATAAGTATCAAAGGGTTCATACTGATTATATAAACATCAATATATGTGCAAAAGGGAGCGATCTTCCTTATAGACGCATGCCAAGTGTCAAATGATGTATGTGGAAGGAGTGCTATTGTTGAACAATCATCAATTTGCAAATAACATGGTGAAGATTGTTTTGGGCAAGAACCAACGATAGATGCTAAATCTTGTAGGAAAATTTTAATGAGAAGCAGAATGTTTACATGATTTTAAAAGGTTCTTCCCATAGGCTGCTTATAAGAGGAAAAATAACTACACTGTGGAGAAAATAAATGACATTTTGACTGACTGATCAAAATCAACATCACCAGTGAGGGGCAGACAAAAGGGACTATGACTATGAGGGCCTGAGAAGCACACATCACCACCTATACAGAATTCTGAGCAGGCATGTATATCCTGAACCTAATCGTAAGGAAACATTAGACAGGCCAAAATGAAGAACATTCTAATAAAAAAAGGGGTGAAGAGGCTCTATTGTCCAAATATGCCAATGTCATATAAGACAAAGACTGAGAAACTGTTCTAGATCAAAAGAGAGTAAAGCCATATGGATGGCAGATTAATGTATTCCATCAGTATTAAATTTTCTAGCTTGACATATGTACTGTGGTTAATAAAAGAGCGTCCTTATTCTTAGTTTAAAAAAAAAAACTGAAGTTTTTAGGGGTAAAAGAACTTAATGTATGCAACTTACAATCAAATTTAAGTTGAGTTTTCTGAAAAAACAACTACATTGTTTTCAGGAAAAAAAAATGTAGAGAGAAAACCAACGACAAAGCAAATAAGGCAAAATGTTAATAACAGATGAGGCTGAGTGTGTGTAAAAATTCTTTGTACTATTTTTGTAAACTAACCATTAGCTTGAAAGTATTTTCAAACAAAAAGTTAAAAAAAAGGAAAGGCAAATCTTACATTTCTCAGTGCTTCATAAACAGCTCTAAATGCTGGTTGCTTATCGTCATGGTAAACACCTCTGTTCCCATGAAGAATAAAGATTCCTCCTTCTTCTGCTTCTTGGCAATTGCTTCCATATATACAATGATCTGGTCGATAATTCCATTGACACGGAAAAACAAAAAGGCTTTCTACATAAAGAAAAGACCAAACAATGAAGCAAATACCCCTAATTCCACAGATGTAACATTATGCAAAACTTTCAGTTAAAAAATACAGCTCTTACAAGTAAGAATTAATGAAAAATGTCTGGCATTTAGATCTCTTCCAATTAAAGCAAAATTCAAGAAAAGTTTTACTCCGTCTTAAACATAAATAGCAATAATCATTAATATAAGACAGAATCAGATAAGTGCATGTTTTCCTTTTTCACTAAGTATTATCTGTGATTTTTTTAATGCAAATAAAAGGAATTTAAATAATTACCTGGATTATGAAAAAACACGATATTCAATAGATCTTGATCACCCCATGTGATGTTTAGTTTGTATTTTTTAAGCAATGGCATAAGTATATCTCCCCATTGTAGTCGTACAGTTGTCATATCATTCTGTTGATAAAAACATTCAAAAGAGCTTCAGACTTTCAGGCTTAAAATGGCAGCATGATGACAGTTCCTCATTCTTCCCACAGCAACCATTACAAATCCACAAAGAGAAATGCAAACTCCTCACAATATCAAGTGACATTTCTAACCCTAAATGTGAGAAGGGCTGTACAGTAAAACAGAAGATAACAAAAGGAAGTTGTATGTGGCAGTGACAAAACTAGTAAGTCACGAAAGAAAGCGAAAGTAACTGTGTCCTTATCTTAAAATGAAGATAGTTTTGGTACCTACGTCTGGGCCTACGTCAGAGTTGTTGATGATTAAAATTGTTAATATATAAATTTAAAGTGCTTGGAATAGCACCTGACACGTGGTAAATATTCAGTGTTAGCTATTATTATTTTTTACCATGATGGCTATTAGTCTGATTTATTTGCTTAACTTCTATAATTGGCAGTTCAAATAGATCATTTTGAAATTGATAAATCAAATTAAAAAATGCATACACAACTTAAGTTAAACACTAAAAAACAATATGATTGACAAAAATCAAGGCTGCAGAGGGAGTGGGGAAGATCAACAAAGAAGGAGAAATGTATGAGTTTTGTGTCTACTTGTAGTAAAAAATTCTCACAGAGAACTGGCCTTTTTATGATGGATTTTCCTATCCAAAAACATAGTGTATCTTTCTACTTATTTAAGTGTTCATTTATCTTATTAAATTTAAAACATATATATATATATATATATATATAATACATGTGTGTGTATATATACATGTATATATCCTGCCAATTTCTTTCAAGTTTGTTCCTATGTATGCTATTTCTTTTGAGGGTCTTCCATTTTATATTCTAAAAGGTTGCTATTTGTACATTAGAAAACGCAAGCAAAGAATTCTGTAAAGAGGCACCATGAATGACATATAAAGTCAAAGAAGATTTGCTGAGGAAAATAACTGGGTCCAGTCTAGCAGATGTATGCAGTCCCATAAACTCTCACCATCCCAGAGAGAGGCAAGTTAGGACTGGCAGCTTTGGCAATATTAAGACTGCACTCCAAGAAAGAGACCCTAGTCTCCTGATGCCTCTCATGCTACTGAAGAGCTGACAGATTCACCCAACCCATTTTAACAACTGTAAGCTTTGCTATCAGAATTACAACCCTGCTAACAAAAGTATTTTCCTATTCTTGGATATCAACTAATTGGCATATCAACACTGTTTTCAGGAGGAGACCATACTACGCTACTTGAGAAAGAACCCCTGGAGTCAGCCAGCACAGTAAATGGTTTGACTCTCCTTTTAAAAGCAGCAATTTCTGTATTTTAGTTTTCAACTCAGCCAAATTAACTATATATCCTTAATGTTTATAGTAGTTTTAATAGGTTGAGGTTTTCCAGGGATATAAATATGTCACGCAAATAATAATTCTACATCCTATCTAATTTTTATACCTATTTCTTTCATTTGTCTAATATGGGGGCTTGTTATTCCTCCATGCTGAGAACCACTATTTAAATATTACTTAATAGTTATGATGTCAGGCACAGCGACTCACGCCTGTAATCCCGGCACTTTGGGAGGCCGAGGCAGGCTGATCAGTTGAGTTCAGGAGCTCGAGACAAGCCTGGGCAACATGGTGAAACCCTGTACCAAAAGTACAAAAAACTAGTCACGCATGGTGGTACACGCCTGTGGTCCCAGCTACTTGGAAGGCTGAGGTGGGAGGATCACTTGAGCCTGGGAGGTGGAGGTTTGCAGTGAGCCAAGATTGTGCCACTGCACTCCGGCATGGGTAACAGAATGAGACCCTGTCTCAAATAAAAAAAAGTTATGGTAATATTAATAGATATCCTTATCTTCATTTTAACTGGAAAGCTCCTACTGTTTAGCCATTAAGCACAATGCTGCCTTTTGAAATGAGATAAAAATATAATACTAATAATCTATCAATTTATATTTTATGCTTTTTTAAAATAAAAAAGATACTGAATTTAGTGCTTTTTCAGATACTGAATGTAATGCTTTTTTCTTAATGCTCAAAACTTGTTATTTGAAAACCCAAAGTTAAATACTTAAGGGAGCAAGAAACTGAGTCCAATGAGAACTTGGTGTTGGAAGGGGTAGAAGTGAATACCGGGCCTTTTAGATCTATGTGACTCGGGGACTATCCAGAGTAAAAACCAGTATTCTTCATAGTGCAGTTCACAGCAGTTCACATAGTGTGCTACTATGTAAATTTTTTCTATGTCCTCAATAAGATTAAGTAATTAAGTATAGAAATTAAGAGTAAGATTTAGAAACTTTTACAGCAAGTTAACAGTTTTATGTGTACTTAATATATTTCTCTAGTAATCTCTCTTTTACAAAAGTATTGGCTCATAACATACTGAAAATTTTTTAAAAATTAATCTTTTGCCATAGTTTGAGAAACATTGTTATAAGTCATTTTATAATTTATATTAAATTCAGTGACGATATAAACAATCTATCCTTTAAAAAAGAGAAGGCCAGAATTCATGAAAAAAAAAAAATCCACATACTTAAATTGATGTGCTACAACTGCATTATTATCCTTGTGTGAAATTTCTTAGAACACAGTAAATAGTAATTATAATCAGAATTTTTTTTAATCTGGAAAATGACTAAAACAAGTTTTACTTAAGGAAACAATTTGAAAAGATAACTCTTAGAAATAAGTCATTGAGTATGTTAAGGAAATATTCTTAGGATCTGAAAAGAAAAATATCAATTACACAAGGACAAAAACCAGGAACACTTTCAACAGACAGAACTGGTGGAGCCCTTGTACAACACCATGTTAAAGTCTTCATGTGATTCTATCTATTCAAATATACACAGAAATACAGATACATATTTAAATTATAAAAACCAATATAAATCAAATATATATATTTGAATATATATCTTACAAGAAATGTACCTATTCAAAGAGCATCAATGAAATACAAAATTAAGAGTTCACTGCAGTCTTAGGAAAAAAATAAAAAGGGAAAAAAACCTTAAAGAAAAAAGTCCCATTAGAAAACTATTTGGAAAAGAAGCGATAACGCTAGTATTATTTGCTAATGATATAACCTAGATTATCCAAGACAACCAATGAAAAGCTATGAGAAATGAGTTTAATAAAGAGGTATTACATATAAAAGGAGTTCAAGTCAATAAGAAAGAGAAAACCAAGAAGTGGGCAAAGGATATGGGCAAGCAGCCATTCACAAAAGAAGAAACAGAAATGGCTACAAATTATAAGAAAAGATTTTTAACCACACCGGTAGTATAGTCAAGAAAATATGAATTTTAAAATATATTTTCAGCCATACAACTACATATCCATACTAGGTACACACAAAAAGAGAAAATAAAATCATCCATTCTCCACATCATACACACATTAAAAATGTGATTATGTGTAATGACATAGAAGTCAGTCAACTATATATTTACTAAATGAAAAAAGCTGAAGATGTATAAAAGAATCCTATATCTAAATGCTAATGCACACCTATGCTTGTTTCAAAATACTTTTTTTTTTTTTTGAGACAGAGTCTCACTCTGTCGCCCAGGCTGGAGTGCAGTGGCGCAATCTTGGCTCACTGCAACCTCCACCTTCTGGGTTCAAGTGATTCTCATGCCTCAGGCTCCCGAGTAGCTGGAATTACAGGCACCTGCCACCATGCCTGGCTAATTTTTGTATTTTTAGTAGAGATGGGGTTTCACCATATTAGCCAGGCTGGTCTAGGACTCCTGACCTCAAGTGATCCACCTGCCTCGGCCTCCCAAAGTGCTGGGATTACAGGCATGAGCCACTGCACCCAGCCTCAAAATGCACTTTTTAAAAGGTCCAAAGAACACATAGCCAAGTTTATAGTGTCACTCTGGGTGGAGGCATGAAAGTGTGAAGAGATATGTCAAGGGGAGACCTGTCTTTTCATTCTACATAAAATTACTTTTTTGAATCTTTATAAGCACAATTTAGTTTCATAACATTTAAAACAGAAAACTGTAGTTCTAATTTTACAAAATTTAGCAAACCTATGACCAAATACATGTATGTTACATCAAGATCAATTAGTTTCATTTTTTGAATTAAGCATGCTTTGAAAATGAATGGACTGTCATTATCAGCCTGTCCTATACATACATATAAAATTAAAGCGCATTCACATTATGCTCCAACAAAAAAGTGGGAACTCATCAATTCCCAAAGATTAGTTACTTCACTTTAAAAAGTTCTACCCCTTTGGCAAGATGTTCGTTGTTGTTATTCTGCTCTCATAAGCTATGTACTAACACAAGAAAACTCTTTATCACATACATCTTACAAATATGTAAAAGCATTGTATCTACTTCATACAAAGTGTTCCCTTTTCCAGTATTTTTCAATTCATTAATGGCCTAGTTTCTAAAACCTTCATCTGACTCTCCTTTGCTAGCAATTATCTATCAAGTTGCTACTTTATGTCAGACACTGTGCTAAATATTCTTAATATAAAGCTGTATAAAAGACACATCCTGCCCTCAGTAGGTGGAGCAAACAGACAAAAAAATACTCTACAAAATAATATATAGAAAGCTGAAAAGGGCAGAGTAAACAAAGAAAAAATTCCCACCATGTCTAATTTATACTCTTTGGTTTTTCTCTAATAAACAGGAAAAGGCTAAGAAATACAGTAATACATTTTTTAGAAGGAGAGAAAATAAATACCCTAATAGGGATTCAACACGGCAAATACGATACTGCAAAATAGAACGTAATCATTTAACCAATGTTATTCATTATCTAGCAAATATACAATTATGAGATTAAAAATTATGATTTTTAAAAAGTTGTATTTAATATTTAATTTAATTTAATAATTATTTCATTAAATTAAATTATTTGAATTTAAATTTTTTAATTTTTTTTTTCTTTTGAGACAGAGTCTCACTCACATTGTCACTCTGTAGCTCAGGCTGGAGTGCAGTGGCCCAATATCAGCTCACTGCAACCTCTGCCTCCCTGGTTCAAGCAATTCTGTCTCAGCCTCCCAAGTAGCTGGGAATACAGGCATGCACCACCATGCACAGCTCATTTTTTCTATTTTTAGTAGAGATGGGGTTTCACTGTGTTGGTCAGACTGGTCTCACACTCCTGGCCTCAAGTGATCCACCCACCTCGGTCTCCCAAAGTCTTGGAATTACAGGCGTGAGCCACCACACCTGGACCTATTTTAACTTTTTAATATACATAACTATAATACACCAGGTTCGAAATGAACAGCCACAAGTAGTAAGAACCAGGTGACAGCAAGGCAAATAAATAAACTATGACCTTTGTCCTAAATTTTTATTGTGGCTGTACATGGGTTAAGAACCATGAAGCAACAATCGTGGATCTGTATAAAACAGTTTGGAAAGTGATTATAAGTAACTCAGTTATATTGCTAAATTTCTAAAATTTAAGATCTGTGCTAGAAACTGTAAAACTGGTAGGAAAAACCAAGACAATGTTTTGCTATAGATATAAAGATCAAGAAAAATAAAAATATATGAGAAAAGGAATTAACAATCAATAAATTTTGCAGGACCATCTCGACAATCCTAAGTATAATAAAATATTTGAAAACAAAGCAAATCTGAGTATGTTCCCAAGGAGCAAGAACAGGGTTGTTTGTAACACAGGAATAGTAGGTGTGAAGTAAATTATACCTGCCAAATTAACATACAACCAATCATCTTGTGTTTTTTTTCACAGTCATTAATGTGCAGAAGAAAAAAAGGTTTGAAAGTTTAGAAATTATTCCAACTCCCATAACTACACCTCTAGGTAGCTTAGAACATGTCACAGAAAAAAAAAGAAAAAGGGAAAGGGAGAAACTATTATTTATGAATGATATTTAAATAAGTAATAGGTAAGTTAAAAACAGTAAATCTGGCCAAGCGCAGTGGCTCACGCCTATAAACCCAGCACTTTGGGGGTTTGAGGTGGGAGGATCACATGAGGCCAGGAGTTCAAGACCAGCCTGGGCAACTCTTTTTCTGTAGAGACTGTTCTCTACAAAAAAGTAAAATAAGAACAAAATAATTTTAAAAACAATGGATTTGAACTATATAGCTATTTTTAAGTTGTAATCAAATGGTGTTATATTATCTCTATAGTTCTTTGCAACACTAAACTTCTATTAATTTCATAAATTTCAAATGCAGTTATTGAGAAGTCACATTTTTTTTTTTTGCAGATAATCTTACAGCACCATCTTCTGGTATAAGATCACTGTGCACAGTCTAACAATCAGAAAATAACAATCATGTTACTATCTTAGTTTTACTATATTTAGTAAAACTTTACAGTACATGAAATTTAAAAATTCAAGACAGAATAACAAACTTGGTAACCAAAGAGAGATGTTCTCTGTTAAACAAGAGCAGAGGTTACCTAACACTGGGCTTATTAATGCAATCAGTTGTGGGAGACAAAACTAAATTTAAATCAGAATTTTAAAAAGATTCAGAAAAGGGAAAGCTAAAAAAAAAAAAAACTAAGTTTAAGATCAACAGAATAGACAAGTGACAGGTAATAGCTGTCAGACTTCTAAGACTGAAGTGTTGGCACATGGTAATGGCTACAGCAGTACTGCTGCCTATACCAAAGGTAAGAGGAAACAGTTCCAAATGAGGAAAAGACTTAAATCAGACATGTAGAAAGAATAAACTCCATTCCACCAGATACCATGTGAAAAACGCATGACAAAAATACATACATATAAATGTACACATATATCACAAAAGACATGATATCCCTTAATGTTTAATTTAGTCCTAATGAGATATAAAGGAATAAACAGTAACTCTATACTCCTAGAGGGTATAGTGTTTGCTCAGAAGTCACTGTTTTTAGCTAACATTTTACTGCTTACTTCCTGTCACGCTCTATTAAGAATTTTCAACAGATCTCTTTTAAATTAACTTAGTTAAGTCTGTTTATTATCTTATTCAGCTGAGAGAATTCATACTTAAAAGTTAACTAAGTGGCTAGTAGTTAAGTACTGCACAGGAGGCAAAGCTACACAGAAAGCCAGTCTGATTCCAGAGCAAGCAAACTACAGTGACTTGCAACTTAGATATACAACTAATCTACATGAAACTGGTAAATATTAGTACATACTGATGAAGTCTAAATGCACATTCAGAGAATTTAAATAGTCTGACTTTTCTACTGACCACACAATTTGAAAGACTGGAAACACGCAGGAATTTTTTAAGTTAACTTCCAATAACACCATAATAGCTAACATTTACTATGTGTCAGCCACTGTTCTAACTCATTTACTCCTCACAAAAGTCCCAAGACATTGGTAGTGCTATCATTTCCATTTTACGGGTGAGAACAAACAGGTTGCAGAGTCTATGCTCTTAACTGCAACTCCATGTTGTCCCTAAGGTATATCATAATTTAGATTCTATGTATTCTATGAATGTACAACTACAAAATAACATCTGCTTCCTGGAATGGCAATCTAGGGAGAAGATGTTCACTACTTAGGGCATTGTTATTTTACTCCATTGTCATGTCATCTGGTTTGACCTATTGTAATGCTCTGTTAAACAGAATAATATGAACACACTTCTAGATAAATCTAGATATTTATATTCTTCTAATGAGATTATTCTAAATAGAAAAATTATTTATAGTTCAATTTAGTTTTTAATAAAATTTAGTTTTATTAAAAACAATTTAGAAGGTTTTTAGAGAAATGTTAACAACTACCTGTATTAGTGACTTACCTTGAAATACTTCCTTCTCATTCGAGTCATGTTCATCAACATAACTCCAGAGTTTACTCCAGTTTTTCCATAATATGGATGCCTAGCAAAGCGATTATACCA
This sequence comes from Homo sapiens, assembly GCF_000001405.40. NCBI lineage: Eukaryota > Metazoa > Chordata > Mammalia > Primates > Hominidae > Homo > Homo sapiens. The sequence continues at coordinate 42,105,920 of NC_000012.12, forward strand.
TCCTATTCGAGGTTCCTCATGTTCTGGTGCCATTGCAGCAATTTGTGTGGAATTAAATTTCTTTAGTAAAGACCAAATATCATCAACTGGTCGTAAAAAAAGGATATCAGTGTCGACATACAATAGTGAGTCAACTTCTTTCAGGATTAACTACAAGGAGAGATATTTGAATGATTAACTATAATTCTATTTTAAAAAGAAACATAAAAGCACCTCTAATTGTGTAAGATACACCTAAGAGATTAGCTAATTTATATTATTTTATTTTAAGGTAATCTTTCCTAAATCTGTCATTTTTAACAATAGCATATATATAAAGATACTATGCTAACCTTCATATTAACTTTCAGAGAAGATATGAAAACAAACCAAAACAAAATACTCAATTATAAAAATTGAGAGAATAATATGAAATCTTCAAAGATCAGGGAGGAAATGTTTTTCATAATGGATAATAACATTAACTTAGGTAAATTTATATCTTGAATCCTAATTTCCTGAGATAAATACAGAAATAAACCAATACAAATAAAGATTTTCTGAACTTATTCCCCTTGGCCTGTAACACTGGCATCTTTACATCATTTCGGTTTCAACTAGTAAGTGGTAGAGCCAAACTGGAACCCAGGCAATCCAGATTCAGAGTCCATACTCTTATTTCTAGGTTGTGTCCCAACGAATCAAAGCAAATGTGCACCTAGCAAGGGTAAAGGCTTGACTTTAGGGTAAAGCCAGAAAGACTGGCTATGTTGCACTTTCTAAGAGATAAATCTTCAACATGTGCCTTCCCTGGGGAATTTTAAGGATAATTATTATTATTTTTCTTTTTTTTTTTTTTTTTTTTGAGACAGAGTCTCACTCTGTCACCCAGGCTGGAGTGCAGTAGTGTGATCTCAACTCACTGCAACCTCTACCTCCTGGGTTCTAGGCATTCTCCTGCCTCAGCCTCCTGAGTAACTGGGATTACAGGCATGCATCACCACACCCGGCTAATTTTTCATATTTTTAGTAGAGATGGGGTTTCACCATCTTGGCCAAGCTGGTCTTAAACTCCTGACCTCAAATGATTCACCCATCTCGGCCTCCCCAAGTGCTGGGATTACAGGCACGAGCCACTGTGCCCAATCAAGGATAATTTTTCATTTCTGCCTTACCCATGAACTTTAGGTTCTGACTCCTACAAATTTAAATTTACCGCCTATCCTGGTTTATTAGTAAGATTCAATAAATAGGTGAATCTAAACCTTTTTAGTTAAGACATAATAGGAGCTTGATCCTAGTTCTGCTACTTTTCAAAGCTGCTACTTCTTCCTGCAACTAAAGCCATCACCTTAATGAGCAGCTACTAGGCTGAAATCACCTCATTCCTCCCTTATCTCACTATCAGCTGATTTAATATCAGGATGGGCAAAAAAATCTGATGGCTGACTGCAGGGCCTGAGTAGGGAAGGTTCACTTGGTCAAAGACCTCAACTAAAAGGGAATCTGTGGCCAGGCATGGTGGCTCACGCCTGTAATCCTAGCACTTTGGGAGGCTGAGGCGGGCAGATCACCTGAGGTCAGGGCTTCGAGACCAGCCTGACCAATACGGCAAAACGCTGTCTCTACTAAAAATACAAAAATTAGCCAGGTGTGGTGGCGCATGCCTGTAATCCAAGCTACTCGGGAGGCTGGGGCAGGAGAACCGCTTTAGCCTGAGAGGCAGAGGTTGCAGTGAGCCAAGACTGCGCCAGTACACTCCAGACTAGGCAATAGAGCAAGACTCTGTCTCAAAAAAAAAGGTGTTGGGGGAGGGGGCTGGGTGGAGTCTGTATGTCTATCTCACTTTTTTGAGGGGTGGTGGAGTTAGAATTGTTTTTAATAGCAACATTCTACATCTGTGTCACATCTGTTTACAGATTACTATATTCTTAGCAGAGTAGGAAGAAGCTACATAAAGCTTCAAGTTCAATGCTGGGAGCCACTACCAGCTGGAAATCAGACATGGTTAAATCATAATCACCTATGTATAGTTCTGATTCCTTTCAGTTGAAAAAGGCATTGGCACAGTTTACATTAGTTCTTTTCATGCATCTATTTTAAAGGAAGAGAAACTCAGCAAAAAAGTTTATCACTATAAAAAAATAAAGCACCAATTTACTTAAATCTGGTTAAAACGATTAGAATTAACAATAAAGTATGAGGTCAATTTGACAGGTTTCAAGTAGTTCTTGTACTTAAAATTCCATTTAGGGATTTAACTAGATTACATCATTAAATGATCTGGCAAATTTCATGTAACAACATCAACAATTAAACTTGTTAATAAAGTGTTAACAAAGTGCCATGGTGCCAAGTGTTAATAAAGTACCATAACAAAATGGCAGAGAAATGGCCAAAACCTCACATCTTTCTTTCATCTCTTATTGTTTTTTCAATACTATTTGTGTGATTATTTAATGTCTGTCTCCCACATCAGACAACAAGCTCTATGAAAAGAGGAAACCTGTGTGTTCTATTCATTCCTATATACCCAGCACTTCAGTATAGATGACTGACAAAAACTAGGCACTCACATATTAATTAAATGACTGACACTGCAGTCATTCAATATAAAACTTATTTCAAAAACTTACAAAACCTACGTGAAGTATCTAAAACTTTTTTTTTTAACCAATCTTAATCCCTTATTTGTGTGCTTTTTACAATGGAAGAGAAGAGAAAGATCCTAGGATATAACTTTTTAGGGCGGAGCAACAAACATACTGGTTAGACTGACTTTTTTATCAATATTATAACTTAATCTTACAGATATCCTGGATTCAATAAACCATATTCTTAATAAGCTAGGAATTCCCTTAATCCACTTAGCAATAAGAAGTAACTGAAGGTTCTTCCCCATAATTTATATAATTTCCGGAACCTTGTGTGCTTCTTAAATTCAGTATTTCTACCATAAGTATTCTCCATGTATTTAAGCTGCAAAACTGTAAGTATTTAAATATCATAATGGTCTAAACAACTACTGTGAATTTTAAAACTGGGTAAAATCAAATCAAAATGAAAGAGGTAACCTTGCTTCAGAACATTTGTATATAAAAAAGAAAAAAAAATCAAGGTTTATCATAGAACATTACCAAAGAACAGCCCCACTGAATAAATAGTTCCCATTTTCCCTTTGAGTTCATATGCCTTAAATTTGTTTCTGTTTAAGTATCAGTTACAATAGATAAATTGGCTTGGTATAAGACACAAATTGCTATTTAATGAAGCACTCTACCTCATTTCTCAAACTCTAAATGCTGCCTACAAGTTGAAGGTGATAACGCCACCGCATTTCTGCTGGCAACAGACTTGGCTCCATTAAGACCTGGCAACCTCTATTCCTTGTTACAGATAAAAGAGTTCACCGCAACTGAATATATTAAACTGGTATCTCAACAGAAATTACTAAAAATTTTTCATTCTTAACAGGGGTTTTTATTTTACTTGTTCCACAGGAATATTTTTTCATGTTCAAAAGGAAGATAGTACATGCATTGATTTCTATTTACTAATTTAATTATTTAACTGGAATTATATGTAACTCTTCAGAGACTCATGTGTAAAAGTAAGGTTCAAATTTAAAAAAAAAAAAAAAAAAAAGACACTAGGGGAAAAAACTTACCGGCAAGAACAATCTCTGCGAAGCACATGGTTTAAAGAGTTTTTTCCACTCTGCTGCATTCTCACTTGGAAAGGTTATGGGGTATAACGTATAATTAAATGTTTGTAGAAATGACCAGTTGTCAAGCTAAAACAATTTAAAAAAAAACTGTTTAGTTTCACTCTGAATTTTCTCTGTAAAATCATAAAACAACAGATTATAAAACAAAAGAGCTAAAAATTAAGATAATATACATTTTATGCTGTAAAATTAAAGGAAAGATTCTTCTGTTCCACCACTGTATTTGTTTTCATTTAAAATCTAAAAATCAAAATTAGATCCCAGACTTCCCCATTAAGATCTGAAGCATAATGAAAGTTATCAGGGTCCAACTCCCAAAATCAGAAAGGTGAAAGACCCTCGCAAGTTTGTCTTCCTCAACTTTACCTAATGTGTAAATTCTCTTAATCCATTAACAAGCTAAAATCAGAAAAATTAAGCACTAATATTATTACCACCATATATACGATATGAAAGATGCTTACATTCAAAGTCAGACCAAATATGAAACTAGTTAAAAAATATTTGTCCATCAATGCATAGCTTTAATATGCCTAAATATTTCTGAGAATATTCTGATACATAGCCAATGCCAATTTTTTAAAAATTATTACAAAAAGCAAAATGTATCTGAAAATCTATGATGAACATGTTTACACTTAGTACCCTAAATGCATTTCAAGATACTGAATTGTTTCTAATTCAGTTTAAGTATTATCTCTCATTCTTATTTCAACAGAATTACTGATTCAAATTTCCTGAGGAGCATTAAGAAACAATCTATGGGGGGGAAAAAACTAAGTAGTTTATGTACAGGCTGAATAAAATCTCTTTTGAATTATGATAGTGTTTAAGTCATTTCTAAAACACTAATATCTTCCAATATAGTTTAAGGGAATGCCTTTACTTCCAACACTCTGCTTTGGTGTCTCTGATTATTTTATTTTATTATTGTTTTGAGACAAGGTCTCACTCTGTCACCCAGACTGGGCTGAAGTGCAGTAACATGATTATGGTTCACTGCAGCCTTGACTTCCCAGGCTTGGGTGATCCTCCCACCTCAGGCCTCCCAAGTAGCTGGGACTACAGGTGCATGCCACCACAACCAGCTATCTACTAATTATTGTAAAATACTAGCACTGTCATTTCCCTGCTCCACTTATTAATCACTTAAAGATCTTTTCAATACCAACTTCAAAATAAAATCTTAGTCACTTTCATTTAACATATAATAGTGCTCTTTCATGTACTAAAAGCATGTTCCATAAAATATTTGATATTCTTTCATCAAAAGCAAAACCAAACATTCTCAGTGATTATTACAGTCAAACGAAAACTAAGTTCAAAAATATAGTATATGTTACACAAACAATAATTCAGCCAGGTGTAAACACAACACAGAGGCTGCACCTAAGATAATGCAATAAATGTTTTACTTTTCTATTATATTTTCAAAGACTCCCAAAATTGGCAGCAGTCTATTACTATTCTCTTAACCCCTAGGACAAGATTAATTCCTCAATATTTTAAAAAACAATCCAGGGAGGAGCCAAGATGGCCGAATAGGAACAGCTTTGGTCGACAGCTCCCAGCGTCAGCAACGCAGAAGACAGGTGATTTCTGCATTTCCAACTGAGGTACCGGGTTCATCTCACTGGGGAGTGCCAGACAGTAGGTGCAGGACAGTGGCTGCAGCGCACCGTGCGCGAGCCGAACCGGGGCGAGGCATCGCCTCACCCGGGAAGAGCAAGGGGTCAGGGAATTCCCTTTCCTAGTCAAAGAAAGGGGTGACAGACAGCACTTGGAAAATCGGGTCACTCCCACCCTAATACTGCGCTTTTCCAATGGGCTTAAAAAACGGCACACCAGGAGATTATATCCCTCACCTGGCTCAGAGGGTCCTATGCCCACGGAGTCTGGCTCACTGCTAGCACAGCAGTCCGAGATCAAACTGCAAGGCGACAGCCAGGCTGGAGGCGGGGCGCCTGCCATTGCCAAGTTAGTTGTTTGATTAGGTAAACAAAGTGGCCAGGAAGCTCGAACTGGGTGGAGCCCACCACAGCTCAAGGAGGCCTGCCTGCCTCTGTAGGCTCCACCTCTGGGGGCAGGGCACGGACAAACAAAAAGACAGCAGTAACCTCTGCAGACTTAAATGTCCCTCTCTGACCGCTTTGAAGAGAGTAGTGGTTCTCCCAGCACGCAGCTTCAGATGTGAGAACGGGCAGACTGCCTCCTCAAGTGGGGTCCCTGAACCCTGAGTAGCCTAACTGGGAGGCACCCCACTGTAGGGGCGGACTGACACCTCACACAGCCAGGTACTCCTCTGAGACAAAACTTCCAAAGGAACCATCAGGCAGCAGCATTTGCGGTTCACCAATATCTGCTGTTCTGCAGCCACTGCTGCTGATACCCAGGCAAACAGGGTCTGGAGTGGACCTCTAGCAAACTCCAAACTCCAACAGACCTGCAGCTGAGGGTCCTGTCTGGTAGAAGGAAAACTAACAAACAGAAAGGACATCCACACCAAAAACCCCTCTGTACGTCACCATCATCAAAGACCAAAGGTAGATAAAACCACAAAGATGGGGAAAAAAACAGAGCAGAAAAACTGGAAACTCTAAAAAGCAGAGTGCCTCTCCTCCTCCAAAGGAATGCAGCTCCTCACCAGCAATGGAACAAAGCTAGATGGAGAATGACTTTGACAAGTTGAGAGAAGGCTTCAGAAGATCAAACTACTCCAAGCTACAGGAGGAAATTCGAACCAATGGCAAAGAAATTAAAAGCTTTGAAAAAAAATTAGATGAATGGATAAACAGAATAACCAATGCAGAGAAGTCCTTAAAGGACCTGATGGAGCTGAAAACCAAGGCATGAGAGCTATGTGACAAATGCAGAAGCCTCAGTAGCCAATGCGACCAACTGGAAGAAAGGGTATCAGTGATGGAAGACGAAACGAATGAAATGAAGCGAGAAGAGAAGTTTAGAGAAAAAAGATAAAAAGAAACGAACACAGCCTCCAAGAAATATGGGACCATGTGAAAAGACCAAATCTACGTCTGATTGGTGTACCTGAAAGTGACGGAGAGAATGGAACCAAGTTGGAAAACACTCTGCAGGATATTATCCAGCAGAACTTCCCCAATCCAACAAGGCAGGCCAACATTCAGATTCAGGAAATACAGAGAACGCCACAAAGATACTCCTCAAGAAGAGCAACTCCAAGACACAGAATTGTCAGATTCACCAAAGTTGAAATGAAGGAAGTGCAGCCAGAGAGAAAGGTCGGGTTACCCTCAAAGGGAAGCCCATCAGACTAAGGGCGGATCTCTCGGCAGAAACTCTACAAGCCAGAAGAGAGTGGGGACCAACATTCAACATTCTTAAAGAAAAGTATTTTCAACCCGGAATTTCATATCCAGCCAAACTAAGCTTCATAACTGAAGGAGAAATAAAATACTTTACAGACAAGCAAATGCTGAGAGATTTTGTCACCACCAGGCCTGCCCTAAAAGAGCTCCTGAAGGAAGCACTAAACATGGAAAGGAACAACCGGTACCAGCCACAGCAAAATCATGCCAAAATGTAAAGACCATCAAAGCTAGGAAGAAACTACATGAACTAACGAGCAAAATAACCAGCTAACATCGTAATGACAGGATCAGACTCACACATAACAATATTAACCTTAAATGTAAATGGGCTAAATGCTCCAATTAAAAGACACAGACTGGCAAATTGGATAAAGAGTCAAGACCCATCAGTGTGCTGTATTCAGGAAACCCATCTCACGGGCAGAGACACACATAGGCTCAAAATAAAAGGATGGAGAAAGATCCACCAAGCAAATGGAAAACAAAAAAAGGCAGGGGTTGCAATCCTAGTCTCTGATAAAACAGACTTTAAACCAACAAAGATCAGAAGAGACAAAGAAGGCCATTACATAATGGTAAACGGATCAATTCAACAAGAAGAGCTAACTATCCTAAATATATATGCACCCAATACAGGAGCACCCAGATTCATAAAGCAAGTCCTTAGTGACCTACAAAGAGACTTAGACTCCCACACAATAATGGGAGACTTTAACACCCCACTGTCAACATTGGACAGATCAACGAGACAGAAAGTTAACAAGGATACCCAGGAATTGAACTCAGCTCTGCACCAAGCGGACCTAATAGACATCTACAGAACTCTCCACCCCAAATCAACAGAATATACATTCTTTTCAGCACCACACCACACCTACTCCAAAATTGACCACATAGTTGGAAGTAAAGCATTCCTCAGCAAATGTAAAAGAACAGAAATTATAACAAACTGTCTCTCAGACCACAGTGCAATCAAACTAGAACTCAGGATTAAGAAACTCACTCAAAACCACTCAACTACATGGAAACTGAACAACCTGCTCCGGAATGACTACTAGGTAAATAATGAAATGAAGGCAGAAATAAACATGTTCTTTGAAACCAACCAGAACAAAGACACAACATACCAGAATCTCTGGGACACATTCAAAGCAGTGTGTAGAGGGAAATTTACACCACTAAATGCCCACAAGAGAAAGCAGGAAAGGTCTAAAATTGACACCTTAACATCACAATTAAAAGAGCTAGAAAAGCAAGAGCAAAGACATTCAAAACCTAGCAGAAGGCAAGAAATAACAAAGATCAGAACAGAACTGAAGGAAACAGAGACACAAAAAACACGTCAAAAGATTAATGAATCCAGGAGCTGGTTTTTTGAAAAGATCAACAAAACTGATAGAACGCTAGCAAGACTAACAAAGAAGAAAAGAGAGAAGAATCAAATACACGCAATAAAACATGATAAAGGGGATATCACCACCAATCCCACAGAAATACAAACTACCATCAGACAATACTATAAAGACCTCTACGCAAATAAACTAGAAAATCTAGAAGAAATGGATAAATTCCTCGACACATACATCCTCCCAAGACTAAACCAGGAAGAAGTTGAATCTCTGAATAGACCAACAACAGGCTCTGAAATTGAGGCAATAATCAATAGCTTACCAACCAAAAAAAGTCCAGGACCAGATGGATTCACAGCCGAATTCTACCAGAGGTACAAAGAGGAGCTGGTACCATTCCTTCTGAAACTATTCCAATCAATAGAAAAAGAAGGAATCCTCCCTAACTCATTTTATGAGGCCAGCATCATCATGATACCAAAGCCTGGCAGAGACACAACCAAAAAAGAGAATTTTAGACCAATATCCTTGATGAACATCGATGCAAAAATCCTCAATAAAATACTGGCAAACCGAATCCAGCAGCACATCAAAAAGCTTATCCACCATGATCAAGTGGGCTTCATCCCTGGAATGCAAGGCTGGTTCAACATATGGAAATCAATAAACGTAATCCAGCATATAAATAGAACCAAAGACAAAAACCACATGATTATCTCAATAGATGCAGAAAAGGCTTTTGACAAAATTCAACAACGCTTCATGCTAAAAACTCTCAATAAATTAGGTATTGATGGGACGTATCTCAAAATAATAAGAGCTATCTATGACAAACCCACAGCTAATATCATACTGAATGGGCAAAAACTGGAAGCATTCCCTTTGAAACCTGGCACAAGACAGGGATGCCCTCTCTCACCACTCCTATTCAACATAGTGTTGGAAGTTCTGGCCAGGGCAATCAGGCAGGAGAAGGAAATAAAGGGCATTCAATTAGGAAAAGAGGAAGTCAAATTGTTCCTGTTTGCAGATGACATGATTGTATATCTAGAAAACCCCATCATTCAGCCCAAAAACTCCTCAAGCTGATAAGCAACTTCAGCAAATTCTCAGGATACAAAATCAATGTGCAAAAATCACAAGCATTCTTATACAGCAATAACAGACAACTAGAGAGCCAAATCATGAGTGAACTCTCATTCACAATTGCTTCAAAGAGAAGAAAATACCTAGGAATCCAACTTACAAGGGATGTGAAGGACCTCTTCAAGGACAACTACAAACCACTGCTCAATGAAATAAAAGAGGATACAAACAAATGGAAGAACATTCCATGCTCATGGGTAGGAAGAATCAATATCATGAAAATGGCCATACTGCCCAAGGTAATTTATAGATTCAATGCCATCCCCATCAAGCTACCAATGACTTTCTTCACAGAATTGGAAAAACTACTTTAAAGTTCATATGGAACCAAAAAAGAGCCTGCGTCGCCAAGTCAATGCTAAGCCAAAAGAACAAAGCTGGAGGCATCATGCTACCTGACTTCAAACTATACTACAAGGCTACAATAACCAAAACAGCATGGTACTGGTACCAAAACAGAGATATAGACCAATGGAACTGAACAGAGCCCTCAGAAATAATGCCGCATATCTATAACTATCTGATCTTTGAGAAACCTGACAAAAACAAGCAATGGGGAAAGGATTCCCTATTTAATAAATGGTGCTGGGAAAACTGGCTAGCCATACGTAGAAAGCTGAAACTGGATCCCTTCCTTACACCTTACACAAAAATTAATTCAAGATGGATTAAAGACTTACATGTTAGACCTAAAACCATAAAAACCCTAGAAGAAAACCTAGGCAATACCATTCAGGACATAGGCATGGGCAAGGACTTCATGTCTAAAACACCAAAAGCAATGGCAACAAAAGCCAAAATTGACAAATGGGATCTAATTCAACTAAAGAGCTTCTGCACAGCAAAAGAAACTACCATCAGAGTGAACCGGCAACCTACAGAATGGGAGAAAATTTTTGCAAGCTACTCATCTGACAAAGGGCTAATATCCAGAATCTACAATTAACTCAAAACAAATTTACAAGAAAAAAACAACCCCATCAACAAGTGGGCGAAGGATATCAACAGACACTTCTCAAAAGAAGACATTTATGCAGACAAAAAACACATGAAAAAATGCTCACCATCACTGGCCATCAGAGAAATGCAAATCAAAACCACAACGAGATACCATCTCACACCAGTTAGAATGGCAATCATTAAAAAGTCAGGAAACAGCAGGTGCTGGAGAGGATGTGGAGAAATAGGAACACTTTGACACTGTTGGTGGGACTGTAAACTAGTTCAGCCATTGTGGAAGTCATTGTGGTGATTCCTCAGGGATCTAGAACTAGAAATACCATTTGACCCAGCCATCCCATTACTGCGTACATACCCAAAGGATTATAAATCATGCTGCTATAAAGACACATGCACATGTATGTTTATTGTGGCACTATTCACAATAGCAAAGACTTGGAACCAACCTAAATGTCCCACAATGATAGACTGGATTAAGAAAATGTGGCATATATACACCATGGAATACTATGCAGCCATAAAAAATGATGAGTTCATGTCCTTTGTAGGGACATGGATGAAGCTGGAAACCATCATTCTCAGCAAACTATCACAAGGACAAAAAACCAAACACCACATGTTCTCACTCATAGGTGGGAATTGAACAATGAGAACACATGGACACAGGAAGGGGAACATCACACATCGGGGACTGTTGTGGGGTTGGGGGAGGGGGGAGGGATAGCATTAGGAGACATACCTAATGCTAAATGATGAGTTAATGGGTGTAGCATACCAGAATGGCACATGTATACATATGTAACAAACCTGCACATCATGCACATGTACCCTAAAACTTAAAGTATAATAATAATAAAATTTAAAAAAAAATCCAGGTAAAGAGATCAAGATCATAAAATTATCTAACAAAAATACAGATACTAAAAATATTTTTAAACAGTAAGAAGGTATACTTTCATATACCACTTATAACAGTAAGAAAACTTTTATACCTTTTAGTTTTCTGCCAAAAAGTATAAACGTTTTTGGCAGAAAACTGAAAGATCTGAGCTCATAATTAGTATTTTTGCACTTGACATGCAAAATGAACTGATTTAACCTGAAAAAAACATCAAATATATTTTTTACATAGACCAAGCATAAAAATCCAAATGAATTTAAAAGCTTAATTAAGTGGATAGATGTAAACAGACAATAGAGAGGGAGGAAAGAGAAAATATGAATGATCATTAGCATCACCTTTACCACCATCTCAGAACAAAAGGTAGTGAGATTTCAGGTGAGTTTTCTTTTTCTTATATGTTCTTCTGCCTCTATCTGTTCTCTTATTGTACAATAATATTTTGTTGTTGTTGTTGTTAAGGAACTTACAAGGCTGACCTGATTAAAGAGTATATATTCCACTGTAACAGCTAGGCATGGTCATATGACTAAATTCAGACCAATGGGATACTGGCAGAAATGTCACAATGACTTCTAGAAAGTACCCTTAAGGATACTGCCCTTCTTCACTCCCTCTCTGAATAGAATATGGGTGCAATGGTTGGAGTCTGAGTAGTCATCATGGACCATGAAGCAGAAGCCTCATGTTAAAGATGGCTCAGCCACAGTAAGACGAAGCCAGAGTATCTGAAGATAAAGAATTGCCATATAATCCAGACTACCTACTTTTATGGGAGAGAGAAATAAACTTCAATCCTGTTTAAGCCACTGTTATTTTGGGTTTTCTGCCACTGCTGCCAAATTGATTTTAACTAATACAAAACCAAAATAAATAACTTTCTTATCAGAACCAGAAGCCACTTCCCGCCATATTATTAATCAAGAATTCTCTCCTCTCAAAACAGGATTAAAACCTTTATATAAGCTCTGATTAAGGCACTCCCAAGGAAAGGATATAGACAAAATAAATCATAGGATTTCTCAGTCCTATGACTAAACATCCTGGAACTAGAGTCACTAAAATAAAACCTCCATTTTTGACAAAGAACTTACTTTTAAGTAGCCCACTGCTGTTCAAAAATGAACCTTCCTCTTTCACGTTAGATCTGGACTCAGATGGAAGTGGTTCAAGGAGCACTCCCCACTTACAAGGGCAGTGTTACAGAATAAATATTTTTGTGCAATTAAGAAATAAAACAACTGATATGGTTTGGCTCTGTGTTGCCACTCAAATCTCATCTCAAATTGTAATTCCCACGTGTCAAGGGAGGGACCTAGTGGGAGATGACTCGATCATGGGGGCCGTTTCCCCCTTACTGTTCTTGTGATAACCATCAGTTCTCATGAGGTCTCATGGTTTAAAAGTGTGGTCTTCTTTCTCTTTCTCTCTCTTCTGCTGCCATGTAAGACATGCCTTACTTCCCCCTTTGCCTTCTGCCATGATTCTAAGTTTCCTGAGGCCTCTCCAGCAATGCTGAACTGTGAGTCAATTAAACTTTTCTTTATAAATTACCAAGTCTCAGGTAGTTATTTCTAGCAATGTGAACAGACTATTACAACAACATTCTATTATAGTATATTATTAAATATTCAACTCTACAACCTTGACTATGTCTCAAATACTTACTCTGCCTTTAAAGCTATGATGTAGCTGATCTTCAGCAAAAATATGGAATTGAAGAGGTTTGATGCTGAAAATGATAGCTGACTTCAACATGGTCATAGTTTCTTCCAGTCTTTCACCACAGGCAACTACAGCTAGATGCATTTTCTCAACAGGCTGTATTTTCAGACTGTACCTAATAGGAAAGAAAACCACATTTTTCAACAGTTTTAGTATATGTTTACAATGTGTACTTTCATCATGCTCAAAAAGTGAAGCTCAAAGCCAGATGTTGTGACTCATGCCTGCAGTCCCAGCTACACGGGAAGCTAAGGCAGGAGGATCACTTGAAACCAAGAGTTCAATGCTGCAGTAAGCTATGACTGCATCACTATACTCCAGCCTGGGCAACAGAGCCAGACCCTGTGAAAGACAGAGAAGAAAGAAAGGACAGAAAGAGAAGAAAGAGAAAGGGAAAGGCAAAGGGAAAGGGAGGGAGGGAAGGAAAAAAAAAAGAAAGAAAGAAAAACTGAAGTTCAAAATTTTTATTTATAAAACAAACTAGGCCAAGTCTGTAATCCCAGAGCTTTGAGAGACCAAGGCAGCAGGGTCACTTCAGTCCAGGAGTTCAAGACCAGCCTAGGCAACATACCGAGATCCCATCCCTACAAAAAATACAAAAATTAGCCAGGAGTGGTGGCATGCACCTGTAGCCCCGGCTACTCAGGAGGCTGACATGGGAGGATATTTTGAGCCCAGAAGATAGAAGCTGCAGTGAGCTGTAATTGTGCCACTTTACTCCAGACAGAGCAAGATCCTGTCTCAAAAAAAAGAATGTATTTATTTAAAAAATAAGAAAAGGGCAAACATCAAATTACAAAACATTTTAAAAATGTTGAATCAATCACGTATTTCCACACTCTCAACCAGCTCTTCTCACCAATTTTCCTCCTTTCAAACTACAGAACACACAAAAAATGACAACTTTCTCAATTCTCCCAAGAATACATAACTAGCACCACTGTGGCTGCCAGTAAATAAATTAATTCATTACTCACATTAGATGCCTTAGGAAATCAGAGCTTAACTCTCTCAAGGAACCCATTGAGAAAGATAGATTTGAAGGTCTTTCATTCAATTTTTTAAAAACATTGTTATTAAAAAAAAACCCTTAAAAACATTCTTACTTCATATGAAACCTCTCCCCATACCACCTCTCACCAACCAACAGTTCACTGTAAAGCAAACCCAGTCATAATTTCATCCATAAATGTTTCAGTATTACATTCAATCTTAAACCATGCTGACTACAAGAAAAAATGTCCTTCACATTAATAACACACATTCATTCCCATTTACCAAATATCTAGGAAGATGTAAACACTTCTGAGATGGTCTAAAACATGCTAGTCAAACACTAGTATGTCTTTAGAATCTACTTCTAACACAGTGCAGCAGTGGATACCAACAGGCTTAAGTAACTTTTAATACCTCTTGCTTCTGCTGTGCCACTTCTTTCACGTCTGGTGTTAGCATTAGCTTCGGTCTTTTTACTTTTTTTTCCTTCTTTTTAGAGACAGGGTCTCACTCTATCACCCATGATGGAGTACAGTGGTGCATTCATAGCTCACTGCAGCCTCAACCTCCCAGGCTCAAGCCATCTTCCCATCTCAGCCTCCCAAGCAGCTGGGACCACAGATGTGCGACCACCATGTCCAACTAATCTTTTTTTTTATTTTTTGTAGAGATGGGGTCTCACTATGTTGCCCAGGCTAGTCTCGAACTCCTGGCCTCAAGGGATCCTCCCACCTCAGCCTCCCAAAGTGCTGGGATTACAGGCATGAGCCAGCGCACCTGGCCAGTTTGGGTCTTTTTAAAGCTCTCTATTATTTTCTGTTGGCTGTAATTAGAAAGAAGCAATGTCTCTTCCCTTGTTTGTACCCTCTGTCCTTTGCCCTCTTTTGTGCTGAGCCCATCAGTTCATAACACTGAAACTAATGATGGAGGGGAGACTTTCTACTCTTTCTACGTCTATAAAGAGGGGACATGAATCCAGTTCATCTCAAAAACAGTGGAAGCCACAATGACAAGTTAAAAACTAGGCAATCAAGACATGACAATTTTTAGAGAATTCTAAATTACCTCATCTTTCCAGTAACTGCCTCCAGATCCTACTTGTCATTACAGCATCATGATTTAAGAATCAATAACAGGCTCGGATTGCTTTACTGGCCCATAGCTAGATCTTGCCCCAAAGTCAAAGGCCAAGAGAAGATTTTAAAAGTAAGGCATAATAGTCATATGCTGTTTTGTAGAGCATCAGCTATATACACAGACAAGAAGTATATTAAACCTAAAGAAACATTAGCCTCAAGGCCGGGCATGGTGGCTAACACCTGTAATTCCAGTACTTTGGGAGGCCAAGTTGAGAGGACCGCTTGAGGCCCAGAGTTTGAGACCAACCTGGGTAACACAGCGAGACCCAGTATCCACACACACAAAAAAACTAGCTGGGTGTGGTGATGCACGCCTGTACTCCTAGCTACTTAAAGGCTGAGGTAGGAGGGTTGCTCGAGTCCAGGAGTCCGACGTTGCAGTGAGCTGTGAGCATGCCACACTGCACTCCAGCCTGGGTGCTGGGCGATGTCTTAAATAATAATATACCCAAATGTTTCTCAAGGAAAAAAAAAAAAATCCCTCTAAAAATCAGTCTCAGGAACTCCTCCCAGGTATTTCAGCAAGGATTGTTTTGGTCACACTGCCAGCACTCCTTTCACCAATTTCTACAGGAGTACTGTCAACTACATCACATTTCCTCTTCTGTTTGGGATCCTTTTTAGTGAAAGTATTATATACAGTACAGGCTCAACTCCTAAACTGACCACAAAAAACACGGTTAAAAGATGTCTCTGACAACCACCCTACCCCTAGACCCAAAAGACAGGAAAATCAATTGCAACTGGAAAAAAATCTAAAGTAAGCTTCTATATGATAGGAAGTGATAACTAAAACCTTCTAAGCAGTTACAGGGAAGCAGTCATTCAAATAATGTTGGCCCCAATTGAATGGCGGAATCTTGCCAGGGTCTACAAAAATCTTTCTTTCGGTCACAATATGAACAAAAGAAAAGTCCATCTGGATTTAAAGAAATGTAATAGAAGAGGAGATTTTAAAGTCAAGCCTATTTTTCTACAGATATACAATTAGAAGAAATTCGTCAGATGATTCAAAGATAATATCTGAGGGTTCCCATGGTTAAAGCTGGCATAACCTGAGTATGAAAAGTATGACAGTAATGAATGATAGTGTATTAAATTTACAAAGTGAACCCTGGCCGGGCACGGTGGCTCACACCTGTAATCCCAGCACTTTGGGAGGCCGAGGTGGGTGAATCATTTGAGGTCAAGAGTTTGAGACCAGGCTGGCCAACATGGCGAAACCCCGTCTCTATTAAAAATACAATAATTAGCCGGGCATGGTGGCACACACCTGTAGTCCCAGCTATTCGAGAGGCTGAGACAGGAGAATTGCATGAACCCAGGAGGCAGAGGTTACAGTGAGCTGGAATCATGCCATTGCACTACAGTCTGGGCAACAGAGCGAGACTCTTTCAAAAAAATAAATAAAAAGTGAACACATCGTCAAAAAATGATATTAAATAAAGGGGTAAGAAGAGGGAACTCTTCTTTTTTTAAAGATGAATACCAACCAATAAATGCAGAAGAAATGAGAGAATTATAAAATTCACTATTTTGCAATCACCATTGTAACAGATAATCTGGACAAAAATAATCAGTGGATGCTAAAACTACGTACTAACAAAATATTTCCCCCATATATTATAAAGGAGATAAAAGCACTGTTACAGTGTAGAAATGCAAGAACATCACCTTAACCATGTGATCAAACTTAATAATATTAAAACTTAAGGCATCAAATGTCTCCTGATAGCATGCCCAAAGAAGAACACAATATCCCATGCAGTAATCCTGCCAAAAATCCTGAATCTAATAATAAGTAGACAGTCGGCAAATCAAAATTAAGGGACATTCTGCAAAACAAAAACAAAAATATCACAAAAGATACCAATAACAGCACCCCTTTTCACCCCAAAAAAGGCTGGGGAACAGTTCTAGAATAAAGGAGACTAACTCAACCTGAGTTGAATGCAATGTATGGTCCTTGACTGGGTCCTGAATGGGGAGGAAAAGATACAAAGGACATTAACAGGAAAATAAGAAAATAGGAATAGGAATATATATTCTATAAAGTGTTAAATAACTTAAAGTGACAATTATGGCTGTATTAAAGTATGTCCCTGTTCTTAGGAGATACATGCTGAATCTATGTATTTAGGGGTGTGTCCTAATGCCTGCTGTCTCTCAAATGGTTTGGCAGAAAAAGAAAAGTGGTAAAATGTTAATAATAAATATCTAGGTAAAAAATGTATGGTATGCTTACTGTACTATTCTTGTAACCTTTGCATATTTGAAATTTATCAAAGTAAAAATTTAGGAGGTAGGGGTTTATCATAAAAAAAGAATGCTTTACATAACAAATTTAGATGCAAATACTGTTAATAAACTTCTAAGTCTTAAGAATTGACTTCTTATTTTAAGTAAATTTCTGCTATAAAGGAATCATAATAACTTTTTTGATTTTGTTTTATTTCACAGTATGATCTCCAGTGTGTTCTTATAGCCTATTATTAAATTAGTATTCCCTATTTAAAGAGATACATAATTAGACTACAAACTACCA
Organism: Homo sapiens; assembly: GCF_000001405.40. Lineage (NCBI taxonomy): Eukaryota > Metazoa > Chordata > Mammalia > Primates > Hominidae > Homo > Homo sapiens. Next base: position 42,123,737 of record NC_000012.12, read on the forward strand.
TTGAAGTATATAAAGTCAAATTAAACAATTAAATTTCAAATAACCATCTACTAAAACTAAAAAAGAACTGCCATGAAGCTATCTTTAAAAACTTGCAGTTGAACAAAATGGAAAGCTTTTTTGCTTAACCTGTTATGCTTAAAAAGAAAAACAACACCTTTTTCTCTTACTATTAAAAGAGTTGTTCCCAGCAACACATAATGGACTAAAAGAAAGAAAAAAAAAAAAGAGTTGTGCTAAATTATCATACCAGGCAAAATTACTTTCATGAGTTACATATAAAACACTTTCAAAACAAAATACTTAAAAAAAAAAGCTAGGATTTTTATATAAAGCATTAAAAAAATCTAAAAATCCAACATGAAATATAAGTATTAACTTCTAAAATATAATTTTAAATAACCAGTGAAAATATATCTCTTAAAACTGGTATGAACTACTCAAAATAATACAGCTAATATTAAATTCACCTATGACCACAGAATTCACAAATCTAAAATCAATTCCCACCATAAAGAAGATTCAATATTTTAAAGAACTGATTTTTTTAAAAACTAAAGTCATAGAAAAATTAGTACATTAAAACAAAATATTTCTGATATTTTGATAATTCTAAAATTTAGAGTTTGTATAATGAAAGTAAAATAAAAAAACAAATTAGAAACTTATTTGCAATCAATGGCAAAACCGAACATATTATTCTAAGAGTTCATAAAATAAACATTAAAAATTCAATAGATAACTATCAATATCAAATAGATGATATACAGAACAAAAGAAAAAAGCTAACTAAATGTGGAAATACATTCAACAAATAATCAACAAAAAGCTATCATTTTAATAAGTGATAAAATTATAATTCCCAATAATGCTAAGGTTATGATGACCCCAAGTACACTCACACAATGCTGGTGCAGGCTTACAGCCATATAATTTTTAAAACACAATTTAGTGATATAATTCATTCTTTTTAAAAAATATTTGAACTCCTTTCATATGGGCACTGGGGTAGGCAAGAAAGCCACAATCTTCACCTTATACAATTTGTAGCCTGTTGTGAAAAGACTGATTTTTAAAAGAATAAGAAAGCATGGTAATTGTTTTAATAGAAAAAAACTGAGATTGCTAAAGAGGCTCACAACGCAAACATCTAACCTGGTATTGGGGAAAGCTTCCCAGACAAATGATCCTGTTAATCATTTGTTTCTCACTGGTTGCCAAACACCTTGCTAGGCATGAGACTTAAATGATAACACCATATGGTATCAGCCTGCAGAGTTAACGGTCTAGAAGTGGATGAAGATTCACAGTCACAACAAATGCGGTAAATACAATAACCAAGAGGAGACAGAGAAGGGAGATGAAGTGAGCAGTGAGAGGAGACTATAATTGTTTGGGAAATGATGAGTACAACGGTTAAGGGAGAAGGAAGGAAGCAAGCAGCCAGGAGCAACAGTGTGAAAGGAGACAAGAAGAGTTAATGTAGACTGACATGTGGAGAAAGTCCGTTGTAAACATGATACAAAACACAGATGAAGGAAAGTCTGAGGAGCTAGAGCATGAGTTCAGGTTTGAACATGAGTCTCTGAGGCATTTGAATCAGAAAGGTAAAAATGACCAATATGCAACTAGAAATACAGGTCTGGCTCTCAGAAAAGAACTCTGAATTGGAGCTATCAGTTAAACAAATTATCCTGTGACTATTCAGGGAATGGGGAGAGAAAAGAGCAGAGTCCTAAGAAATGCAGATCATTTAGAAAGCAGCGTTAGAGGAGTCCAGGAGGAGAGAGATCAAAGAGCTGAGTAACTGGTCTGGTCTCAAAAGCCAGAGGCTAACAGAGCTGACAGAAAAAGGAAGTAGTAAACAGTGTCAAATGGGTAAGAGAAATAAAATTAAGCCCCAGAACAATAATTCAGAGGTGGGGTGATGACAGTAAGAGTCAGGTGGCAGACAGCTGAGGTGTGAAGTTCTTTTTATTAAAAGAAGTAAAACCAAGGCTGAGCACAGTAGCTCATGCCTGTAATCCCAGCACTTTGGGAAGCCAAGGCAGCAGGATCACTTGAGCTCAGTTGTTCATGACCAGCCTGGGCAACATAGCGAGACAGCGAGACCTTGTCTTCACTAATATTAAAAAAAAAAATTATTTGGCTATGGTGGCATGCACCTGTAGTCCCAGCTACTTAGAGGACTCAGGCAGGAGGATCACTTGAGCCCAGGAGGTCCAGGCAGCAGTGAGCCCTGGTGGTGCTACTGCACGCCAGCCTGGGCGACAAAGTGAGACTATCTCAAAAAAACAAACAAACCAAACAAAACCCAGAAGCAAAACCAGTAGGAACTTTTTTTTTTTTTTTTTTGAGACAGAGTCTCACTCTGTCACTCAGGCTGGAGTGCAGCGGTGTGGTATTGGTTCACTGCAACCTCTCCCTCCCGGGTTCAAGCGATTCTCGTGCCTCAGTCTCCCAAGTAGCTTGAACTAAAGTTGCGCGCCACCATGCCTGGCTAATTTTTGTATTTTTAGTTGAGACGGGGTTTCACCATGTTGGCCAGGCTGGCTCTCGAACTCCTGACCTCAGGCGATCGGCACGCCTTGGCCTCCTAAAGTGCTGGGATTACAGGCGTGAGCCACACCCCTCCAGCCAGTAGGGAGGTACTCAAAAGAAGCTTGCTGATGAAGGGAAAGAGAGGATTGAAAACAAACTGTTGCAGGGATTTTTGATTTTGTTTTAAAGACATAAAGCCAGGCACAGTGGCTCATGTCTATAATTCCAGCACTTTGAGAGGCAATGGAATAGTGTGTTGCCATTGACATGAGAAATATGAAGACCATACTACACTGAAAAGTATTAAAATTTTAAGCTCAGGATTCAAGATTAGGCCGGGGGCGGTGGCTCATGCCTGTAATTCCAGTATTTTGGGAGGCCGAGGCGGCCAGATCACCTGAGCTCAGGAGTTTGAGAACAGCCTGAGCAACATGGTGAAACCCCCTCTCTACAAAAACAGCTGGGCGCAGTGGCAGATGCCTGTAGTCCCAGCTCAGGAGACTGAGGCAGGAGAATCGCTTGAGCCCAGGAGGCAGCGGTTGCAGTGAGCCAAGATCATGCCACTGCACTCCAGCCTGGGAGACAGTGAAACCCTGTCTCAAGAAAAAAAAAAAAAAAAAAATTCAAGATTAGTCTACACCAGAATCACAACTATGTAAAAGCATATGATGATATGAATGATGAAAACACTTGTAATAGGAGTTGAGGCCATTTTAGTTTTTATATTATGTTCACTGTATAATAAATTAATTGGGAGAATATGATCACCCAAATAATATTTGATCAAAGTTATACAAATAATTCAAGTTGGGAAAGTAAGGTACCCAACTAAGGGCCCCCTGGTGCCAGGCAGAATGTGACATCAAAAGTGGTAGTAAAGGGGAATTCCAAAGAAGCTTTACCAGTATTAAAGTAGATACTGAGATGGAGGGCAAGAATGATTTGGCAGTTGTATGGCATTTGGGCTTGTATGCATATTTGAAATAGGGTGATTAAATGTGAGGGAATCGTTAGTTCTAAATAAGAAACTAAGTTTGAGAAATTTTTACATAATTATATGACACAAAATGTTTGCTTTTTTTAAATGTAATAGCATGATATAATGGATGCAATATTACGGGTAGAAAGTATAACAGAGGAAAGGCATATAACTTCTGAAGTCTCAAATTTAGGTTACAGGCACAAGGCTTACAACATTATGTATCCATCCACATATGATTTATTCCACGGAATACTTGGGAGCATTAGGAAAATGAGTTAGAGGAGCCAAAACAAAAGGAATGGTAAGCAGAGAGTCCAGGATTCCGACTAGGTAAATTTCCCTGGGACACTCCTGCAGTCAGTAAGGAGGAAAGATTATTATTACTCACGCTGTAATTTACAAAAGGGTCTGGGTTGTATAAATCAGAGTATGCTGAACTTTTCAAGTTTACCCAGCTTCAAGCTAGTGGAATTATGTGGCAAGGCAAAGTGGTTCTTGTCAATACTATATTCATTTGCAAATATTCGTAAGAATGAAAACATACAAAACTTCAATTATCCAAAAGTATAACCAAACTGAAAGGTTAGATTATCTTTAAAAGTTAATTTTTAAAAGCTGGAATATTACTTGGCTCATATTAAAATTTCAATCACCCAATCTCTTCCACAGCAACAGGATATAACTAAACTATCTGATTTGAACCTATTCCCCACCAGTTCTTCATGGGATGCATACTGTATTGAGAATGCAAGAATTTACAAATATGTACAATTAATAGATACTTACAATGCAGTTCTTACAGAGAGGAGAATGGTGGTTACCAGGCACTGGAGGTGAAGGGGTGGGAGAGAGTATGTGATGGAAAGATGTTGACCAAAGAATACAATACAAACTTCCAGTCAGAAGGAATAAGTTCTCAAGATCTACTGCACAGCAAGGTGTCTACAGATAATTATGTTTATTTCAAAACTGCGAAGAGAATAGGTTTTAAATGTGCCCATTACAAAAAAAAGATAAATATGTAAGATGATAAACATGTTAATGAGCTTGATATAATCAGTCCACAATATATACAGACACCAAAACATCGCTTTATGCCCCATAAATACATAGAATTATTGTCAATTAAAAATAAATTTTTTAATTAAAAGTTTTTAAAAATGAAGTTCTTCCTATCTCAAACACTTCACCTCCTGTCCTTGAAACTAGCTAATTTCCAGATCATCATCTGGTCACTCCCTCCAAGTCTTCCCTGATGCTTTAAGATGACTCATCATAGCAACAACTTGTCACACTCTATTGTAATTTCAGGTTTACTAGTGTGAAACTCCCATCAGAACGTAAGCTCCAAAAGGATGGAGCCACAATTAACCTGACCCAAGAGTCCAGTGCTTACCACCTAGCACAGCGTGTGGCAAATATAATGAGTAGAATTAATATTTATTTTATTTGTTTTTTTGAGACAGGGTCTTGCTCTGGGCTGAAGAGCAGTGGCGTCATCACAGCTCACTGCAACCTCAACCTCCACGGCTCAAGCAATCCTCCCACCCAAGCCAGCGCATGCCACCATGCCTGGGTAATTTAAAAAAAAAATTTGTAGAGACAGGGTCTTGCTTTTGTTGCCCAGGCTGGTCTTGAACTCCCGGGCTCAAGCAATACTCCCGCCTCAGCCTCCCAAAATGCTGAGATTACAGGCGTGAGCCACCATACCCAACCTAGACTATTTAAATGAATCATAAAGACGCAGTAAATAGATACTCTTCTAAGGAATTTTACTCTTGGGAAGAGCATTTCAAACCTTTGCCCCACTCTCCTCTGCCACTGTATCAGGGAGATAGTCTGAGAGTCACTGCCTTATCGTATTCTTATCAATACCTGTTTCTTTCATTCTAGATTAGAGCAGGAAGGGACCTAAGAGGTCAGAGTACCCAATACCTTCATTATCCAGAGAAGTGAATAAAGCCGAACTAGTCAGTAACTTAAAAGGTCAATAAACATTAAAGGAAGAAGTAGCCAGGAGCTGCTCCTCCATCTGCTCCTCCATTAAATACTTATCTTTATCCTCCTATTCCCAGTATTCAATCTCTCTACTAATAACGAATATAATCCTTCTCCAGTTGTCCCCATCCACTATAGTACACAAGCTTTTAGATAAATGCCATATTTTATATATATAGATATATCTGTAAACGTCAGTAGAAGCCTATTTTTATCCTAGTTTATCACTTTATCAACTGTTACCAAAAGTTAGATCATAAATTCTCTTAAGAACAGTGGTTTGTCTTAATAACATCTAAGAAAATTTAAAGCATTTATACACAGTATGTACTAAAAAATAGCAATAACAACTACAAAATGGGAAAAATAGAAAACCCAATAAGAAAATAAATTATTTGTATAATATCATAAGAAACATTCTTACATCCTATTACAAAGGTTTTATTATCAACTATCTAACCTTATCTACACTGATCTACCAATTAAATATTAAGTGCCTACCTAAAAGCCGCTTCCCAAAAGCAGTTCATTCCACAAACATCAGAGGGCAGCATCCAATAGGGATTCCAGTAACACAGAGAGAAATCTTTACACCTAACAGAGTAAGACAGAAATAAGAGTCCTGTGTGAGTATTTTGGTTTGGAACTAACAAGGAATTTACTCAGTAACACGATAACTTACTGTTCTATTTTAAAGCAAATAAAATTATAAATCCAAATTGCTATGATAAAGATTTTGGAAAACTGATTTCTCCCTTACTTAGGGCACCATTATTTTAAATAGAACTTTAAAACCCTGAAGGTAGACTATACTATAGATTGGGAAACAGTGTTTCCGTCGGAGAGTCTCCTGATAAAATCCCCTCCTCAGATAACACAGACAAATATGTCTTCTAAAATTTTCTTCACAGGCTACACATATACCCCTAGAACAAAATCCCTTTGGGACAAACAAAATATTTGCTTATCCTCAAACATAATAAAAATGCCACCAATACTGGCAGAAAGGGAAAAGAAGATCTTTAAATGCTTTTAAATTAATCCTCAATCCAAACTACTTGTATGGTGTTTTAAACTGAAAAATAAAACATAACAGCCAAGATGTATATGAAAATGGTCAATATCACTAATCATCAGGGAAACGCACATTAAAACCACAATGAGAGAACATCTCACCCAGTTAAAATGGTTATTATCAAAAAGGCAAAAAACAAATCCTGGCAAAGGTATGAAGAGAAAAGGAAACACTCATACACTGCTGGTAGGAACATACATTACTACAGTCACTATAAAAAAAAACAGTATATAGAGATTCCTCAAAAAACTGAAAATAGAACTACCATATGATCCAGCAACCCCACTGCTGTGTGTATATATACATACATATACACACATGCATACACACATACACAGACAGGCACAGTGGCTCACATCTATAATCCCAGCACTTTGGGAGGCTGAGGTAGGTAGACTGCTTGAGGCTAGGAGTTCAAGATTAGCATGGTCAACATAACAAGACTCCGTCTCTAAAAATAAAAAATTAGCTGGACATGGTGGCATTTACCTTAAGTCCCAGCTACTCAGGAGGCTGTGGTGGGAGGATGGCATGAGCCCAGGAGTTTGATGTTGCAATAAGCTGTGACTGTGCTACTGCACCCCAGCCTGGCTGAACACAGCAAAAGAGACTCTGTCTCAAACAAAAACAAAAAAAATTTTTAACCACCCTCCCTGCCCCAAAAAAACCCGAAAATCATGCTGATATTCACAGCCTAGTATCATTATCTACATAATCTCAGTTCCATATTATACAAGCTAAAATGGAAGATCAAGTCTGGTCTTTCTTGTTAGGTTGCATGTTGGAGCCAAAACGGAAAAAAGAAAACACCTTACATTACAAAAAAATTGTTTTTCATCGTGATTTCTTTTCAAAATAATAGTCTAAAAGTCACTGGGTACTAAAGTATGTATGAAGTCAGGGTGAGTCACTAAACCAGGTCACTTCATTATCTCATCACTATGCAGCTTTGTTTTCTCTCATTATGAATTCAATTATGAGTTACTGTGCTTATATCAAATGGTCTATGAAATTTCTGATTTGCAAAAATCTGATCACATCTCTCACAAATGGCAACAGTCTAAGGCAGGGGTTCTTAGCCCTGGTAGAGGGTGCCACACAAGACCTATTAAATCAGAATCTCTAGAAACGGTCTGGCACTGGTGGTTTTTAAAATGCTGCCTAAGTAATTGTGTATACTACTGCATAAAGAACAAGGTTGGAATTTCTTAACCAACAGAAAAAAGTTACATTATAACTTTGTTTTCCTCTAAAGGGACACCACATTCTAGCATAGCACAAAAGGCTACATATCTTCATTTAAAAGGCTGAACCAGAAAGAGAAGAAAATGTGTATGTATCGGTAAAACTTATGACTTGATTAGAAAATCTGTGTTTGTACCCTCTCAGGCATGGCTATGTATTTTCTTAAGTCTTTGATTTCATACCACACAGTCAGACTCATTGATGGTAATAACAACTAACAGAGTTATTTTCAGATTCAAGCACTTTCACACCCATTTAGACTCACTAGAAACGTTTTAAGGTAGGTATGATCTCCGTCTTTCAGATACAGATGATAGCACAGCTTTATTTCAACAAATGCACAATTTATTTACAATCAACACCTAATGTGTACCTTTGTTCTACGAAGACGATAACTAATCAGGTTATTCCATATCCCCTGTCAAACTCTACAACAGTGAAACATGGAAATAGAAATCTCAAAAACAAATTCAATTTTTCTATAAAATTAATTAAAATTATATATATTTAACAATACCATTTGCAGCCTCAACTTGTACTTTAAGTTACAAAACAAATCAGTTATGTGTTGTTTTCCAAACCTGCCTGGTCCTCAGGTCACTTGTTAAAAATACAGATATAGGATCCTATCCCATACCCAGTTAATCAAGACTCCCCAGAGAAGTGGCCTAAAAAGCTGAATTTTTCACCAATATCCGCAGATAAGTCTTAAAATCAGACCTGAATGAGAAACATTGTGTATCAAGGAATAACTAGAGTCAGCTTGAAATTTTTTTATCGCAGTACTGATCATTTCTCTTATGATAATCCTGTTTACTCCAACTTAAAAATGATTAAATTTTGAAAATTTGTGTTTCTACGAATACTTCAATCAATACATTTTATTAAGTACCGTTTAGAAAATTTTTTAAAGCCTAAGAAACAAATTACCCACCACTATTAACATTTTCGTATCTTTACTACCCCATATTTCAAAAATATCTTCCTACAAATATTTGACTAGAAAAGTTAACGTGTATGTTGCCAACATGCAGAAGTTGCTGAAACTACTTGATCTTCGTTAGTCTCAAGAAAACGCCCACGTGAGCTAGAGAGCACACCTCAAACTCCCTGTTCTCAGGAAATATCCACCAGGGAGCTTCTAACTCAAAAGACCCTCTTGCAGTATTACAATTAAACTGTATTTGGGGGCAATGTTTTTGTTTTGTTTTTTTTTTTAAGTTGATGCAAGATGACGAAGCCACAGACATGAGAATTAAATTCAACAAGACCAACATATTGAACAACTCAGTAACGAGTTTAAATTTTGTGAAGCTTTGAGCCACACCAAGAGCCCTACACTTCTGCTAGTACCAAACTAGGTGCCAAGTATGGTGGATTAAGGATGATCACACATCTGACACTTCTATTAATAAGTAGGATCTGCTGCACGCAGTGGTTCATGCCTCTAATCCCAGCACTTTGGGAGGCCAAGGTAGGCGGATCACTTGAGGTCAGGAGTTTGAGAATGGCCTGGCCAACATGGTGAAGCCCCATCTCTAATAAAAAAAATCAGTCAGGTGTGGTGGCGGTTGCCTGTAATCCCAGCTACTCAGGAGGCTGAGGCAGGAGAATCGCTTGAACCCAGGAGGCGGAGGTTTCAGTGAGCCAAGATCATTCCATTGCACTCCAGCATGGGTGACAGAGAAAGACTCTGTCTCAAAAAACCAACCAACCAACCAACCAAGTAGGATCTAACTCCCCTTATCCAGAATCTAAGTGGGCTCTGTGATTGCTTTGACAAATAGAATACTGAATATAATACTGTACCAATGTCCAGGCCCTTCCCTTAAGAGCTCCACATCCTATTTCTTGGAACACTCTTTGAACCTGATCTTCACGTTGTAAGAAGCCCAAGGCACATGCAGAAGCCACTTGAGAGAATGCAGATCAACAGCCTCCACTGAGCTCCTAGTCAAAAGCCAGCATCAACTGCTAGCCATGTAAAAGAGCCACAATGCCACACCATTCTGATCTACCAACCTACTGGTTCCTCCCCAACTCACAGAAAACTAGCATCCGGTTCACAGTCCTCGTCTCAGTACCAAATCCTACTTTCCTCTAACCATTCATTTGGTAAATCAATAAATTTTCTACTGAATGACTACCTACACAGGCCAAACACTGGCAACACTATAGTGAGTAAAATGGACATGGATCATACTGTCTAGTGGGGAGTAACAGAATGTCATTTCAGATACTGCAAGGTGAGAGACCTAACCAACACCCAGGTTACACAATTCTTTAAATCCAGTAACTCTTACCTCCTTTTCCCTTCAGTGAAAAATGGCAAATGCTGGCCGGGCACAGTGGCTCACACCTGTAATCCCAGCACTTTAGGAGGCCGACGTGGGTGGATCGCTTGAGCCCAGGAGTTCAACACCAGCCTGGGCAACATGGCAAAACCCCATCTCTACAAAGAATAAAAAAAAAATTAGCCAGGCATGGTGGTGTGTGCCTGTAGTCCCAGTTACTCGGGAGGCTGAGTTAGGAGGATAGTTTGAGCCCAGGAGTTTGAGGCTACAGTGAATTGTGATCATGCCAATGCACACCAGGTCTGGGCAACAGAGTGAGACCCTCTCTGACAAAAGAAAAAAAAAGAGAGAGAGAAGAAAAAGTAAAAAAATGACAAATCCTGGACCCTGTCAGAAACTGCAATCCAATACCTCATCTCAGACTAGTCTCTGATCTAATAATTATGGTTCTTTTTTCTGAGACAGGGTCTTGCTCTGTCGCTCAGGGTGGAGTGCAGTGGTACAAACACAGCTCACTACAGCCTCAATCTCCTGGGCTCAAGCTATCGTCCTGCCTCAGTCCCCAAGTATCTAGGACTATAAGCATGTGCCACCAAGCCTAATTTTTAAAAAATTTTTTGTAGAGACAAAGTTTTGCTTTGTTGCCCAGGCTTATTATTTATATCCCATTACATGTGTGGAAATCACTCAGCCCTCCAATCACATGCTTCCTAAGTATAAGCTCCCTGCTTTACCCATTTCCCTCCCTACTCAGACTACATCATATGGTTCATCCATTCATGTTCCTATACCTGCAAACTTCCACCTTCTTCTTTCACCGTACCTTTTCAGCACAATCTTCAGTTGAAACTGAGCTGTTCATTCACATTCTCAGATGAATACTGAAGAACAGTTAATGACATGACTATGCTGATTAGTAGAAATATAAATTAATTGTCTTCCCCTTAGCTAGTCTCATACCTATTACCAACTCCATATGCTTCCCCTTGTTGCCCATCTTCTTCTCAGGAGTCCTTAAAGACCTTCTTGCATCAATTAGTCTTTCTTTCTCCTTAACTGGCAATCTCTATTTGTGTAGTAGACTGTATTACTGTTCAGTTATTCACTCCCCACATTTAACTGTAAAAGGATTATACAACCCTATTCATTACCATGGGCCTTGCCTGCCTGATAAGGGAGGCATATATCCCTGCATCATTTATTGACTTTGACCTTATTCAAGTGACTTGCTTTGGCCAAAATAATATAAAAAGACATGATACTGTGGCATCAAAGTAGAAGCTTCAAATGGGACTGTGTTGTTCAATCTGGCTTCTTGCTCATCCACTACCACAAGACCAGGCATATCCAATGTATGGATTGCTCCTTTAGCTTGGATCCCAGGATGAGAAGATATATCAAGCAAAGTCATAGCCATAGACATGTAATGTGTGCAAGAAATAAATGCTTGCTATTGTAAACTGTTTAGATGTATGGGGTTGTTACAAAGCAAAGCAGAATAATACAAGCATAATTCCCTTTTAAAGTGTGTAATTCAATGGTTTTTCGTATATTCAGAGTTGTGCAACCATGACTCACCAATTAAATTCCTCAGTATATACTCAAGAGAACTGAAAACATGTTCACAGAAAAACTGTCCATGAATGCTCAGAGCAGCATTATTCATAATAGCCAAAAAGTATGAAAGAACTCAAATGTCCACCAAATAATGAGCAAAATGTGGTATATCCATACAATGGACTATTATTTGTCCATAAAAAGGAATGAAATATAGTGATACACGCTACAGTGGATAAACCTTGAAATATTATGCCAAAAAGAAAGCCAGATTCAAAAGGCCACATACTGTGTGATTCCTTTATGTAAAATGCCCCAAACAGGCAGACAGAAAGTAGACTCGTGGTTGCTCATGACTGGGGGACTGAGGAGTGCAAGGTGGGAGTTACTGTTACTGGATACAGGGTTTCTTTGGGGGGTAATGATTTACTTCACAAAGGTTTAATGCAGTCAAAATTGGATAGGAAAAATCAAGTTATAGGTAAATTTATTGATCATAATTCAATGTCAAAAAACACATAGTATATAGGAAAGATGTTTTTCTTTCTTTACTGGAAATATAAGAACACATGCACTAGTGAATACATATGCTGCATACCATTAAAAAATCATAAAACACTTAGGTATTGCTGTAAGGAATGAAGTAATTTGTTTATAGTTTTTTAACTCCCAAATATCTATTCTCCCATTTTGAAAAACTGGTTTGGGAGATTTAGATAAAGAGTAGAAACTCACACTGAGAACTTATGACATATCAGTGGCTTATTAGAAGCAATAAGATAAATTAGCAAAAGCAACTCATCTGAAGACAGCACTTGCACTTTTAGGCCAAAAAGAAAAATTAAAGTTTGAAAATACTGGAAAAGTAAAGGTAGTTATCCAGGTTCTGGCTATTAGTTGCTTAAAACTGTTGAAAGCAGAATATTAAACATCCAACATTCAAAGAGGTAACTCTATTAAATAATTTTAATGAGGCAAAGCATTAATATGAGTTAGGTGGGTATGTCTTCACTATACCCATACTGACATTCAAAAGCACTGAAGTCCTAAAAGGGAACTTTTTCACTGTGGATCAAACTGAAATAAAATGTTACTATGGCTCATCCTCAAGTTTAATAAGGCATAAAGCATCTAGCTCTAGGTAGCTTGTCTACAACTGACCAAGGGGTAGCACAAGGTACCTTTGCGGTGATGAAACAATTCTGTATCCTAATCCTAATTTTGGGGGTGGTTACATGTATTTACATGTGATAAAACAACACTCGGCATAATAACATTTGTCAAACTTGAAGTTTACTTAAAACCAATTACAGGAGGTTTTTTATACATACATACATACATACATACATACATACATACAAACAAACACACACACACACAAGTCGCCCAGGCTGGAGTTCAGTGGTGCGAACACGGTTCATTGCAGCCTCAACCTCCTGGGCTCAAGCAATCCTCCCACCTCAACCTCTGGAGTAGCTGGGACCACAGGCGCACACCACTATGCCCAGGTAATTTTTTGTATTTTTGTTGTTGTTGAGAGAGTGTTTTGCCAAGGCTGGTCTAGAACTTCTGGGTTCAAGCAATCCACCCACCTTTGCCTCCCTGCTAGGATTACAGGTACGAGCCACCATGCCTGGTTGTACTTTTAAGTTAAACTAGAAAAAGTAATTTTCATTTCAAAATGTCCAAGATAGGAGGCTTCAGTGAAAACTATGCAAAACTTACCAAAGAGTCAGTGATACGAGATGAGCCTGACCAACATGGTGAAACCTCATCTCTACTAAAAATACAAAAATTAGGCCAGGCGCAGTGGCTCACGCCTGTAATCCCAGCACTTTGGGAGGCCGAGGCAGAAGGATCACAAAGTCAGGAGATCGAGACCATCCTGGCTAACACAGTGAAACCCTGTCTCTACTAAAAACACAAAAAATTAGCCAGGCTTGGTGGCATGCACCTGTACTCCCAGCTACTTGGGAGGCTAAGGCAGGAGAATCGCTTGAACTCAGGAGGCAGAGGTTAAAGTGAGCTGAGATCGCGTCATTGCACTCCCGCCTGGGCGACAGAGCATCTGTTTCAAAAAAAAAAAAAAAAAAAAAAGCGGATCACAAGGTCAGGAGATCGAGACCATCCTGGCTAACACGGTGCGGTGAAACCCTGTCTCTACTAAAAATACAAAAAATTATCTGGGCGTGGTGGCAGGCGCCTGTAGTCCCAGCTACTTGGGAGGCTGAGGCAGGAGAATGGCGTGAACCCGGGAGGCGGAGCTTGCCTTGAGCCGAGATCATGCCACTGCACTCCAGCCTAAGTGACAGAGCGAGACTCCATCTCAAATTGAAAAAAAAAAAAAAAAGTCAGTGATAAATTTAGGCATATTCAGCATAAATATTTGACAGTATGAATGAAGTGCTGCTGCAAAGCAGTAATGCAACTTCAAGGCATGTATACCCTCCCTGTGACTGTGCAAGAAAAGCAAAGATGCTTACGGACACATTAAAGGAGGCCATTCCCATGATACTGCCAAATCACTACTATTTAATTTTCAACTAAATTGTTTCCAAGTCGGGCGCAGTGGCTCACGCCTGTAATCTCAGCACTTTGGGAGTCTGAGGCAGGCAGATCACCTGAGGTCAGGAGTTCGGGACCAGCCTGGCAAACATGGGGAAACCCTATCTCTACTAAAAATAAAAAATCAGCAAGGTGTGGTGGCATGCGCCTGTAGTCCCAGCTACTCAGGAGACTGAGGCAGAAGAATCGCTTGAACCCAGAAGGTGGAGGCTGTAGTGAGCCGAGAGAGTGCCACTGCGCTCCAGTCTGGGTGACAGAGACTGCGTCTGGGTGACAGAGACTGCGTCTCAAATAAATAAATAAATAAACAAACAAACAAATAAATAATTTCTAGACAACTTAACTTCTAGCTCTAAGTAAGATCTTCTTTTTCTTAAATTTCTAATTTCATTAATCCTTGGCAAGTAGGAAAAGGACTGCTTATATATAAATGACACTGAAACAATCATCTACCCATTTCAAAGAATAAGTTAGCATCACACAATATACCTCCTCTACCAGCCCCCAGCTCCCCCACAAAGCTGGATTGATTTAAATCTAAAAAAGGGAGGGGAAAAAAACTGGTAGAAAGCTTTCCTATGCGTAATAAAGGTAAACACGATAAAGTAAAAAGTAGCCAATCTGAAAACAAAAATCATAAACCTCATACAGTACACACATTATGAACAAAATTTAAGTTTATACGTAGGGGAAGTACTTCCAATAGGTATGGCATATAGATAATGATCTTACTGCTTTAAAATAAGATTTTCTAGGCAGGGTATGGTGGCTCATGCCTGCACTTTGGGAGGCCGAGGCAGGTGGATCACCTGAGGTCAGGAGTTCAAGACCAACCAGGCTGGCCAACACGGTGAAACCCCGTCTCTACTAAAAAATACAAAAAGAAAAAAACAAAAAAAGCTGGGCAGTTGGCACACACCTGTAATCCCAGCTACTTGTGAGGCTGAGGCAGGAGAACTGCTTGAACCCGGGAGGCGGAGGTTGCACTGAGCCAAGATCATGCCACTGCACTCCAGCCTGGGCAATGGAGCGAGACTCTGTCTCAAAAAAAAAAAAAGCCAGGTGTGGTGTGCACGCCTGTAGTCACAGCTACTCGGGAAGCTAAGGTGGGAGGATCACTTGAGCCCAGAAGGTCAAGGCTGCAGTGAGCCATGATCTCAGGCCACTGTACTCCAGCTTGGGTAACAGAGTGAAACCTTGTCTCAGAAATAAAAAAAAAAAGATTTCTAAATCAAAAGTACATATTATTTTTTCATCAACCAAGTAACTTTCTCCTCCAAAAGCACAGAATATTTTAATTAATTAATTACTAGTATTTATTAATATGTGTCAGGTTTGGACTAAGAATTTGCTATGGTCTGAATGTGTCCCCTCAAAATTCATATGTTGAAATCTAATTACTAACATGATGTTAGGAGGTAGGGCCTTTTGGTAGATGATTAGGTCATGAGAGCAGAGCCCCCATGAATGGGATTAGTGGGGGGCCTTATAAAAGGGGCCTGCCTCGCCTCTTCTACCATGTGAGAACACAGGGAGAAGGCGCCATCTATGAACCAGGAAATGGGTCCTCATCAGACACTGAATCTGCTGGTACCTTGACTTGGATTTCTAGTCTCCAGAACTGTAAGAAATAAATTTCTGTAGTTTCTAAGCTCTCTAGTCGATGGTATTTTGTTATAGCAGCCCAAAGAAACCAAGATAACCCTTCACAAATATGTAACGTAGATACCACTATGATCCTTCAATGACCTAAAATACAAAGTATAGGGCACTGGTTTTATGTAAGATGTTTTTGCAATAACAAAGCAGAGATTAAAGTGGCTTTAGTAAGTAATTCAACTTTCTTTACTGTTCACTGACTCAACTCTCTTCTTCAAACATAACTGCAGAAAAAAGGGGGGAAAAGGGCTGGGCACGGTGGCTAATGCCTGTAATCCCAGCACTTTGGGAAGCCGAGGTGGGCGGATCATAAGGTCAGGAGATGGAGACCATCCTGGCTAACATGGTGAAACGCCGTCTCTACTAAAAATACAAAAAATTAGCTGGGCATGGTGGCAGGCACCTGTAGTCCCAGCTACTTGGGAGGCTGAGGCAGGAGAATGGCATGAACCCGGGAGGCGGAGCTTGCAGTGAGCTGAGATCGCACCACTGCACTGCAGCCTGAGTGACAGAGCAAGACTCCATCTCAAAAAAAAAAAAAAAAAGGCGGGGGGGGGGGGACTTCACTAAAAACAGTAGTGTGAAAATAGTGCCCAAACTATTCTCAATTTTTGGTTTTATAACAAGCTGGAGCACATATCTAAAACATAAATTCCTGGACCCCACTGCCAGGGCATTTTGATTTAACAGGTCTTAACTGGAGCCCAATGACCAGAATTTTTCCCAGAGGTCAGAAATTGGAAGAAAAAAAAAATCCCAACTTAAAATTTAAATTACCAAAATGATATTAGCTAAAATGTTGTTGTGTCAGGCACCATACTAGGTACTCTGTATCAGCTATTTAATATTTAATTTCAATTCTCACAAACAATATCATACTGTTCTCTCTGATGACGAAAACAAGTTCAAGGTCAACACAGTAAGTGGCAAAGCTGAAGTCTGTCACTCCAAAACTCTTACTTTCTATTCTTTAAGTTCTCAGTATATAACACTAGTATTCCCAGGATCCAGCAGAAATGACAACTCTATGGCCTAACCAGATCTAAAAAAGAAAGTGAAATAATTACCTCCCTGTGTGACAAGGAGACACATAAGGAGACTCCAAGGGCTTGATGGGTCCAGAAACGGTATCACTGAAACATTTAGTAATTTCTTGATTCCCCACTACCAATACTGCTGTATAGCCACAGGTAAAATTTTGATAATCAATGTCAGGACTCATCAGTGAAATATGATAATTTAATCATCCTGAGTAACTAAAATGCAACAAAGTGGTATGAATTAGTGATGTCCGGTAATAACTACTGCTTTCTGTCAAACACCTTAATACAGTCTGTCCACACTGAAGAGCTTGAGTATCTCCTTCTAGAACAGCCACTGCCTATCCAGCATTCCTTCTCCTTTGAGGCACCGCTCCTCTCCAACACCAATCATGTTATTCTGTCTGCCACAGGAATGTGCAAGTGACACAGAGTCAACAAATCAGAGTTCCCCATCCCAAGTAACACTGACTGGTCCACAAACGGGCATGCAACCCAGGCAAGTCCAATGACAGCCTTTTCCTAGGATTTTGTATTTGAGATTAGAGAATAAAACCTGCAAGAACAGAAAAACCCCATGAACAAAGTTTTGTCTTTACTGGAAAAGACTCCCCAGTCCTTAAGGTCCTTTGAGCTGCCCTGCTATCTGCAGTTTTTCCTTCATTTCAAAAACTGTATAAGCCTATAAATATGTTTTGCTTGAGATAGTTTTACTGAATTTTCATCAAAGACAACTAAGAATTCTATTACAAATTAAGTAAGGTAATCTAATGTACAGCCTGATGACTATAGTTAACAAAGTGTACAGTATACCTAAAATGTGCTAAGACAGTAGATCTTTAGTGCTTTCACCACAAAAAAAAAAACCCTATGTGAAGTGATGATATTAACTAGCTTAACTGTGATCATTTCTCAATGTATATGT
The DNA here is from genome assembly GCF_000001405.40 of Homo sapiens. Lineage (NCBI taxonomy): Eukaryota > Metazoa > Chordata > Mammalia > Primates > Hominidae > Homo > Homo sapiens. The sequence goes on from NC_000012.12 coordinate 42,141,618, forward strand.
ATGTCAAACTATCAAGTTCTATGCCTTAAACATATAGTTTCTATTTATCAATTATACCCTACTAAAGCTAAAAAAATTTAAGTATTATCTACATTTTACAGGTGAGGAAATTAAAACACAGGCATGTGACACAATTTAGGCAAAGTCTCACAGCAACCAGAGCCAGAATACTGAGAACACGGGTTTATCTGACTACAAGACCCATGTATTTTCTGATTATTAAAATCATGGCTTCAAACAGAATACACTAACGGATAAGAGATTCCACTGAAAAACTGTTCCTTTCATTTTAAAGTTCTTACTTCAAGGACTCCAAGTCTTTTGTCGTCATGAAATTCTATACCATGAATAGTTTTTATAAGATCTGACCAATGGAACTTACTGGGTACAAACCTAGATCCCGTGTTTAAAATAAAAAGAGAGAAATAGTTATAATCTTTCAAGTAAGATGTTATCAAAAAAGGCAAAAATGCAATAATACCTAAGTACTACTGAAAAGAGGAAGCTGCTGGCTTGCCCCATAGCCCCATTGCCCACTGAGTCCACTATCTAAACTAGACCCTTATCTTTCTTTACAGAAAGAGCTCTTGTATAACACTCCAAGGATACAGTTTCTAATCCTCCTCCAACACTGATTTGCTTTGGATCTTGGCCAAATGATTTATACATGAAGAGGTTAGGGATTTCTATACCGTATCTCATGGTGGCCAAAAAAGTTAATTTTTTTTTTTTTTTTTGAGACAGGATCTTGCTCTGTCACCCAGGTTGGATTACACTGGTGCAATCATAGCTCACTGTAGCCTTGAACTCCTGGGCTCAAGTGATCCTCCCACCTTAGCCTCCCAAAGTGCTGGGATTACAGGTGTGAAACACCACATTCAGTTAATTTTTTTTTAATTTTTTTATTTTTTGTAAAGATGGGTTGTTGACGAGGCTGGTGTCAAACTCCTGGCCTCCAGCAATCAATCATCCCCACTCAGCCTCCCCAAATTCTGGGATTACAGGCGTGAGCTACCGAGCGTTGCCAAAAGTTGATTTAATTCTATGACATTTCTATAAAGATGTTATAAATGACGATATACAAAATAGAGTCCTGAGGTCTTAGTAATTTGCGTGATCTTAATCTAACCATAGAGTAAAACTTCACAATCCAACTTTTCCACGTTGTTCCCCTGCCCAAATGGTTTCTTATGCGCGCAAATGTGGTGACATGCTGTTCTTCATCACATTTTTACAAAGAGAGATAAATACACCTATAGTTCTAACTTAGATGTACGCCTCATTTAAAATAAAGAGTAATGCTACTCAAAGGACCTAAAAAAGTACAGTATTTCGGTTGACTCAATCCTGACACATAAAACTTAACGTTTCAGTAATGATTATATTGGATGTTTATTAAAACTGAGGCTATTTTCGAAAATTTCAAATAATTTTATTAAAATTAGCTGGTCAAGCAAACAAAATTTGTAAATTTCTGTCACAAAATAAAATATCTAAGACCAAGGCACTAAAAATGTGATGTTAACATCAGTCTAATTTCATTCAATATTTAATTAAAATGTTGCTTCCTTACAATTCTACCCCATATAAAAATAATTCCTTTTCCATAATTGCAAATGCTTCACAATAACATACTAGGCCATAAACAGTTTAGCTTCAACCTGTCATTTTTCACGAGCTCATTCAAGTCTTCAGTGACTGCTTTCTCCCAGGACAGACAACTGAGGGTCCTGATGTAGGAATTACCCTGACTGTAATCAAATCTCAGGGTAAAAACATGACAAGTCCGCTTTCCACGCTGCTCCTCTGCCCAAACTTTCCCCTTTCATTCTGGGAATGACCATCGACTCTCAAAATGATGTTAAACAACAGCCCACAACTGATCTATACTCCCTCTTCCGACAAACCCTATACTTCTCTATATCAAAGCAGCATTTGCCAAGTCTTGGTAGGGAGCACTTCAGGTCATTCCCAGAGAGATGCCCATACATAAGGTGGAAGTGTCCATGTTGCAAGGCAGTGCAAACGCTCAGATTTCAAGCATTCATAATGCGTTGACAGAAACATTTTTTTTCTATTTAAATCTCATGTTGATTCCCACTCTGGCAGTGATTACGTCCTAAGTCATTACGTCGCTTTTTAAATACCAATTTGTCAAGAAAGGTAACTCCATCCCATCCAACAACAGACTTGAGCACGCCAAGTATCGCTCATTTTTCTTAATTTGCTCTAAGTTTCTTAATAAACTGAGTGTTTCCAAAAGAAAATTTCACAACCCGCACAAATGCCATTTCCAAATTTAACTAACCATGGCTAATACTTAGAAGTGTAAGCGTTAACACAGGAAAATCAGCATGAGGGACAAAATACACACACATATACACTCACACACACACACACAATCCTTAAACACTGAACTAGGGCGCCAGCCTCATGTTTAAATATCTCAACTTGAACTCCACTGAAACAAGAGGAAATTCTCACTAGCCAGGCAGCAGTAAGGCTTTTGTGGACACCTCTTATTTTCAAAGAACCCTCTTTTTAAAAAGTTGAAAATTAATTTCTAACTGCTTTAAAGGGCGCATGACTGGGTCAAAAGATAAACACAGAAAGTGTAGGACACTCTCAGGCGGGAGCAGCGCAGGTTTAGCCCCGGCCGGAGGGGAAGGAGGGAAATGAGTGAGGGGTCAGAGACAGGAGGAAAGACGCGGGAGACGCGGCACCCACCGGCGAGCAGCCCGGGCTAGGCCGAGCCCGCGCCCAGCGCCCCGCGCCCGCCGCGTCCCCCACACCGGGAACTGCCCGTACCTGTCCGACACGCCGGGATGCGCTGCGGGGCCCGCGACGCCGGCGCCTCTCACGGCGCCGCGTCCGCCGCCCGCGAGCCAGGAAGCCACCGCGGCCTGCGGCTTCCCGCCACCGCCGCCCGTTCCTTCTTCCAGGGACACGGCGAGCTGGCTGAAAGCGTAAAGGAGCGAGCAGAAGCCGCAGGCCACACACAGCACCACGACGCGCAGGTAGCGCCGCATCGCCCCGGCCGCGCTCCTCCTTCGCCGCCGCCGCCGCGCCCGCCCCGACGAACTGGAGCGGAGGGAGGGGCACCGCGCAGCCGCGGGCGCAACAAGTTCCTCACCCGCAGCCGCCGCCGCCGCCTTGCGCCCGCTCCCTTCCTTCCCTCCCCGCCCACCACCTAGGCGAGCGCAGTCGCGGCTCCGGAGCCGAAGGACTACCCGCCCGGAAGCCTGGACACCGCCTCTGCCGCCGCGCGCTCAAGGGTCAGCGGCAGCGACGCAACCCCGCCCCTCCCCCGGGCGGGAGGGCTGGACGCGCCGGCGCAGTTCGCGTGGGAGGGACGCAGGGCTGGCGCGCAGAGGGTGGTGTGAGTGCGCGGAACGCGGCGCGCCTGAGGGCTATAGCTAGCGCAGGCCGACGCGCAGGTGAATGGGAGCCCTGTGGGTCTCGACCGCCGAGAGAGGGGGAGCGAAAGCCTCAGGGCTCTGGAGGCAGTTGACCTAAATTCTAATTATGGTCCTTCCACATGGTAGTTTGTGACATTGGGCAACCTAAATTCTCTGAGCATGTTTCTTCGTCCCTAAAATGGAGCTACTATCCTCATCATGGGGTGGTTGTAAAGATTAAACTGTTTAACGCTCGAAAACCGCCTAACACTTAGAAGACACTTGACTAGGCCAGTTTCCTCTCCATCCTCCCCCAGCCTCTAAGTTTCTGTGATACTATAATGTGCACGAGCCATTTTCACCCCGATAAGCTCATTGCTTCGTGTGTTTGGTATGCGGACCTTACCTCTTGCCTCCCAGCAGACAGTGAGTTCCTGTAAGGCAGGGCTCTTCCCTTTGACCTTTTTGACCTCCCTCACAACTCATTATTTTCATGTGCAAAACAATTAGTATTCTCTCCACAGAGCTTCTTTCTTCCCCAGTTCTTCTCCCTCTTCTTCTGTGTTTCCACTACGTTCATTCATTGACCATTTATAAAGCATCACTTGTGCCAAGCTCTGTGTGAGTACCTAGGGGTATAAAGAGGCCTAAGTGGAGCGTGGGTGGGACAGCGGATACTTGTAAATAAGCGCAACGCAGTGATAACAGACTTAAGATCCAGGCCTGTAAGGGTGTGGGCATACACACAAAGGAACAATCAGTTCTATCTGTGAGTATGGTCAAGAGAGACTTCATAGCAAAGGTGGCGCTAGAGTCTTGAGTCGGGTAAGGGAAGTAATTCCAGGCTGAAGGATCAATAAACAGGCTCTTGTGTAGGGAACTGTTGAGAAGTTTGATACCACCAGCTAAGTGAATGCAAGAGAGGGTATGATGAGCGATAAGCGCGTAGAAGGGGCCAGATATTTGAGTGCTTTGTTTAGCACACCAAGGAGTTTGAATTTAATCTGCAAGACATTAGTGAACCATTGAAGGGTTTTTAAATAGGGAAGTAACATGATCACAATTGCATTTTAGAGAGCAGATTCTGGCTGTAGTGTGGAGGCTGAAACAGAGAGAGGAGAGATTGGAGGCAGAAAGCAGCACCAGTGCCAAAAAGTGAGGGAAGGGATACTTAAAAATACACACACACACGAACACACATTCATGGGGAAAAATCATGCGTTTAACTGCTGAAATTGCATCTGGGGCGTTGAAAAGTTTGGCCATGAGATACAAGGTGGGGAAATGCTGCGCAAAATAGTAGCAGTCTCCATTTGGATCCTTGGCTCCCTATACCAAAAAAGTAGTGGTTCTGTGACCATGATAAAGTCACTAAACAAATTTAAGGTTCAACTTCCTCCCCTTCTTGCTTTACCTGATAAAAAATGAACATTAGCATGCTATCAAGATGTGTAAAGAGAATGAGAACATACATTTATGCATTCAATAAACATTTATTGAACATATTCTACATGCCAGACAAGGGGCTCTGATGCAGAGTATTCAGAAATAAAAGGAGTGTACTGCTCTCAAAGGGAAAACAGGCAAATAGAAACCACAAGTATACTAAATTAATACTTCCACTACACCTTACACTTCTTAGAGAAATGAAGATAAACTTAACGAAGTATCCAGAATGATAGGAAAAGCATTGATAAGAATGAAAATACCTTTTGAGAGAAAGCTGAAAGATATGGTACCAAGAAACTAGAGTAAGAGCTAGTACTCAAAAAATGTTTAATTTAAAAGATACTAACTATAACTCTTCTCTATTTCAACAAAGAAACTAAACGTAGTAATAATTAAGAATAACTCCTTGACCCACAGATGGTTAAAATAATGGAATGGCAAAAAGAGAAGGCAAGCAGTTTTCATTTCTGCAACAATTTTATGAAAAGAGCAAATCAGGAAAAATAGCCACTCATTTATTGACGTCAGGGTACTGGACCATATCATCCTTTTAGGTTCCTTCTAATCCTGTAATTTTCTGTTGAAAAATTATATAAACCATTCCAAAAATAGAAATGATTTTTCTATTACTCACACATCATCTTAACTGGCTATCTTGGAGGAGCTGTGTGCATGCTGGCATCCCCTCTAATTATTAACCGGATTTACACGTTGCATTTTGATATTCCTAAAATTAAGTTAATGAAAGCGCTTTAACATATTTGATGTCACAACAGTTAGGTGTTTCTTCCATGTACTGCGTGAAGGTATGTATTCCTAAATCTATTTTTTTCTCTCTATACCAGTCTCTTAATTCTCTAATGATAGACTGATATCCAAATTTTTAATCCATGTTGACCTTCATTCATCGTATCAAATAGGTAAATTTAGGTGGAGAAAAAGTAATTTAAAATTATCAATATTTGTTGTTTAGGAGATAGAGATCTCCATGATCTGGAAAATTCTCTGATTCAGAATTAAGCCACATCTCAATAATTTTATATTTAAAAGATTAATCTTGATTTTTCGTATAGCTCTTAGTACATCCTGGATATATAATAGGCGTTCAATTAATGGGCGTTTTCTTTTTTTTTTTTTTTTTTTGAGATGGAGTTTTGCTCTGTCACCAGGCTGGAGTGCAGTGGCACAATCTCAGCTCACTGCAACCTCCGCTTCTCGGGTTCAAGTGATTCTCCTGCCTCAGCCTCCTGAGTAGCTGGGACTACAAGCGCGTGCGTGCCACCAGGCCCGGCTAATTTTTTGTATTTTTAGTAGAGACGGGGTTTCACCATGTTGGCCAGAATAGTCTCTATCTCCTGACCTCGTGATCCACCCACCTCGGCCTCCCCGAAGTGCTGGGATTACAGCGTGAGCCACTGCGCCCGGCTCCCATTTTCATTTTTTTAAAATGTCTTCTCTAAATCAGTCTAGAGCAGATTTGGGGGCCTGCTCAGCATTTTCTTTACACTTCTACCTTAAGTACTTGATTCCTTAAAAAAAAAGACATGGAGAAAGTTAAATTCTACACCTTTTCAGAGTAAAATTCAAAAACTCTTTTTGCAGGAAAAAAAAAAAAACCTTTTTGCATGACTTCCATTTTATAAAGGTCTATGCATAATGGAATTTAATCCTTGGCTGGGCACGGTGGCTCACACCTGTAATCCCCGCACTTTGGGAGGTGGAGCTGGGAGGATTGCTTGAGGCCAGGAGATCAAAAACAGCTTGGGTAATATAATGAGACCCCTCTTTCTACAAAAAAAAAAAAAAAAAAAAAAAAAAAAAAGTTTAATTTAATCTTTATAGCATTCCTATGAAGTAGGAGATGTTATTCTATTCTAAAAAAAAAACAAAAAAAACAAAAAAAACAAAAAAAAACGAGCCTGATAGAGATGTGACCACAGATAGCAAGAAAAATTTAAAAATAAAAACAATCCCCCCCCAAAAAAAGCAAACAGCCTGAAATTCAGAAATGTTCATTTACCACATGGTTAATAATAAGATCCAAAATTCAGATAGAAATCCTCTAAGATTTCTATTTCTTGTTCTTTTCCATTACGCCATGCTATCTCACTAGGAACAAATAAGCACTAAATGGAGTGGTACAAATTCAAATTGAAAGCAAAAAGGGAACCAATGTTATATGAAAATCTTTCAGACTGATCTTAGAGTCTAAAACAACATTTACAATCAGTGAAATGCAAGTCAGATTAGTAGCAGAGCACAAAGAATCAGAAACTCAGGCTAAAAGTAAAATTCATTCTCTCCGCTAGTGGGCTTCTAGTATATTTCCCCATTTTCCACAGTCCAATTCCTAGAGACTTTGTTGGACTGGAGGAAAAGTTGGAAAATAATGTTTAGTTTGCACAAAAATCTCATTTTATGTGTTCATTCAGACCAGTAACTGTAGGGAAAGAGTCAGAGGAAGGATGAAAGAGTAAAGTGATGCTCTTCATTCTTAAAAACACGTTGCTACAGGCCACAAGAGTAGAAAAAGAAGTAGTGAAAGATTAAAAAATAAATAAATAATTTAAACTGAAAAAAGAAAAGCGGTGGAAAACTAATTAATGAGGATGCCTTAACCTCCTATATGATACCAGAATTTCGCTGACATTTCCATCTACAAGGTAGGGAAAGTGTACAGTGGGCTAGGTGGGAAAGAGAACGAGGAATATCCTCTGGATGTCCCTCTATTTCTCCCTGGTTCAAACTTCAAGAACCCTGCATACCGATTAGTAAAACAGAATATATTATTTTTAAAAAATAGTAACGGCCAGGCGCAATGGCTCATGCCTGTAATCGCAGCACTTTGGGAGGCCAAGGCAGGAAGGTCACTTGAGCTCAGGAATTCAAGATGAGCCTGAGCAACATGGTGAAAACCCGTCTCTATAAAAAATGCAAGAATTAGCTGGGCATGGTGCTGTGCATCTGTGGTCCCAGCTACTCGGGAGGCTGAAGTGGGAGGATCACTTGAGCCCAGGAGGTGGAGGTTGCAGTGAGCCAAGATCACACCACTGAATACCAGCCTGGCTGACAGAGTGAGACTCCATCTCAAAACAAAAACAAACAAACAAAAAAAATTGTCAGTAAAATATAAAGCTAGATTTGTAGGGAAATTTAGTCATGACGAAATTTTGAATTAAAACACCCATAGGCCAGGTGTGGTGGCTTATGCCTGTAATCCCAGCACTTTGGGAAGCCGAAGTGGGTGGATCACCTGAGGTCAAGAGTTTGAGAACAGCCTGACCAACATAGTAAAACCCCGTCTCTACTAAAAACAGTCGGATCAACATAGTAAAACGCCGTCTCTACTAAAAATACAAAATTAGCCGGGCATGGTGGCACATGCCTGTAATCCCAGCTAGTTGGGAGGCTGAGGCAGGAGAATCGCTTGAACCCGGGAGGCAGAGGTTACAGTGAGCTGAGATCGCGCCATTGCACTCCACCCTGGGCAACAAGAGCAAAAAGCCGTCTCAAAAAATTAAAAAATATATAAAAAAAGAAAACACCCGTATGCAAATTCTTGTCATCAGCCAAGTCTCATAATTATAATATTAAAGAACAGACCTACTATTTGATAGCACAACAGGGTGACCATAGCATAATGGTACATTTTAAAAATAACCAAAACTGTATGTAATTGAATCGTTTGTAACACAGAGGATAAATGCTTGAAGGAATGGATACCCTATTCTCCATGATGTGATTATTTTGCATTGCCTGCCTTTATCAAAACATCTCATGTACCCTATAAATATATACACATACTATGTACCCCCAAACAAATTTTTTAAACTTTTAAAAGGAAATAAGCAAAGAAAGCAAGGAAGGAAGGGAGGGAGGGAGGGAGGAAGGAAGGGAGGAAAGAAAGAAAGAAAAGGTTTCAAGACTCTTCTGACCCAGGTTCCCAAACATTGAAGACTGAAAATAATTAAGAATTCTGATACTATCACACTTCTGTCTGATGCTTGGCTGAACTCATAATTCTTATTGTTCCCTCATATTCCTTTCTATACAGAAATTACATCACTAGGTAATCCTGTTATGTTTGGTTTCCTTTATTTTTACATTTATATATTTTATTTTTAATAAAGTAAAAATTCTTTTTTGCTCTCTTTTCCAATTAAGTGAAAGTGTTCCTTAAATTATTTATCTTATTCTTTGCTAGAAAACATAGGCTTTTTTAAAAATTTTGCCTTATTAAAGGCCAAAAAATCCAGCACTTTGGGAGGCCGAGGCGGGCAGATCACAGGGTCAAGAGATTGAAACCATCCTGGCCAACATGGTCAAACCCTGTCTCTACTAAAAATACAAAAATTAGCTGGGCATGATGGCAAGTGCCTGTAGTCCCAGCTACTCGGGAGGCTGAGGCAGGAGAATCACTTGAACCCAGGAGGCGGAGGTTGCAGTGAGCAGAGATCGCGCCACTGCACTCCAGCCTGGCAACAGAGCAAGACTCTGTCTCAAAAACAAACAAACAAACAGACAACAACAAAAAAACTACTTCTCAGGCCTAAGGTCAGATCACTGCTCTTTTCTTCTGGGAACTCAACCTACTTTCTTTTTAAAAGTGCATTCACCACCACCCACTTTCACCACTGTTATTCAACATACTACTGGAAGTCCTAGCTAGAGCAATCAGACAAGAGAAATAAATAAAGGGCATCCAAATTGGAACAGAAGTTGAATTATCCTTGTTTGCAGATAATTATAATCTTACATTTGGAAAAAACCTAAGGACTCCACCAAAAAACTATTAGAACTGATAAACAAATTCAGTAAAGTTTCAGGATAAAAAATCAACATACAAAAATCAGTAGCATTTCTATATGCCAAAAGTGAACAATCTGAAAAATAACAAAAGTAATCCCAATTAAAAGAGCCACAAATAAAATTAAATATCTAGGAATTAAAGAAGTGAAGGATCTCTACAATGAAAACTATAAAACATTGATGAAAGAAATTTAGAGGACACAAAAAAAATGGAGAGATTCCATTTTGATGGATTAGAAGAATCATATTGTTAAAATGTTCATACTTACCTACCCAAAGCAATATACAGATTCAATGCTATCTCTATCAGAATACCAATGACATTCTCCACAGAAATAGAAATAACAATCCTAAAATTTATATGGAATCACAAAAGACACAGAATAGCCAAAGCTATCCTAATAAGCAAAAAGAACAAAACTAGAGGAATCACATTACCTGACTTCAAATTGTACTACAGAGCTATAGTAACCAAAATAGCATAGTAATGGCATAAAAACAGATACATAGACCAAGGAAATAGAACCCAGAGGCCAGGCGCAGTGGCTCACACCTGTAATCCCAGCACTTTGGGAGACCAAGGCAGGTGGATACTTGAGGCCAGGAGTTAGAGACCAACCTGGCCAACATGACGCAACCCATCTCTACTAAAAATAAAAAATTAGCTGGGTGTGGTGGTGCACACCTGTAATCCCAGCTACTCAGGAGGCTGAGGCACGAGAATTCTTGAACCCAGGAGGTAGAGGTTGCAGTGAGCCAAGATTGCACCACTGTACTCCCGCCTGGGTGACACAGTGAGATTCTGTCTCCAAAAAAAAAAAAAAAAAAAGAATAGAAAAGAAAAGAGAATCCAGAAACAAGTCCACACAGCTACAATGAATTCATTTTTGACAAAGGTGCCAACAATATACAATGGGAAAAGACAATCTCTTCAATAAATGGTGCTGGGAAAACTGGATATCCATATGCATAAGAATGAAACTAGACCCCTATCTCTCACCGTATACAGAAATCCAATCAAACTGGATTAAAGACTTAACTCTAAGACCTCAAACTATGAAATTACTAAAAGAAAACATTGGGGAAAATCTCCAGGACCTTGGTCTTGGCAAAAATTTCTTGAGTAACACCCCAAAAGCACAGGCAACCAAAGCAAAAATGGACAAATGGAATCATATCAAGTTGAAAAGCTTCTGCACAGCAAAGGAAACAACAACATGAGGAAACCCACAGAATTGGAGAAAATATTTGCAAACTACCCCTCTGACCAGGGATTCATAACCAGAATATATAAGGAGCTCAAGCAACACTCTGTAGGAAAAAAAAATCTAATAATCCAATCAAAATATGGGCCAAATGTTTGAATAGACATTTCTCAAAAGAAGATGTACAAATGGCAAACAGGCATATGAAAAGGTGCTCAAGATCACTGATCATCAGAGAAATGCAAATCAAAACTACAATGAGATATCATCTCACCCCAGTTAAAATGACTTTTATCCAAAAAACAGGCAATAACAAATGCTGGCAAGGATGTGGAGAAAAGGGAATCCTTGTACATTGTTGGTGGGAATGTAAATTAGTACAACCACTATGGAGAACAGGTTGGAGGTTCCTCAAAAAAAAAACTAAAAATTGAGCTACCATAGTATCCAGCAATCCCATTGCTGGGTATATACCCAAAAGAAAGGAAATCAGTATATTGAAGAGATATCTGCACTCTGGTGTTTATTACAGCACTGTTTACAATAGCTAAGATTTGGGAGCAAAGTAAATGTCCATCAACAGATGACTGGATAAAGAAAATGTGGTACATACAAACAATGGAGTACTACTCACCCATAAAAAACATGAGTTCCAGTCATTTGCAACAACATGGATGGAACTGGAGATGATTATGTTAAGTGAAATAAGCCGGGGTCAGAAAGACAAAAATCCCATGTTCTCACTTATTTGTGGGATCTAAAAATTAAAACAGTTAAACTCATGGAGACAGATAGTAGAAGGATGGTTACTAGAGGCTGGGAAGGGTAGATGGTGGGGGTGGTGAGGATAGTTAATGAGTACAAAAAAATAGAATGAATAAGACCTTCTATTTGATAACATAATTGTACATTTAAAAATAACTAAAAGAGTATAATTGGATTGTCAGTAACACAAAGGATAAATGCTTGAGGAGATGGATACTCCAATCTCCATGATGTGATTATTATGCATTACATGTCTGTATCAAAACATCTCATGTACCCTGTAAATATATACACCTATGTACCCACAGAAATTAAAAATTAAAAAACAAAATGTGTTCACCGTCATTTTCTTTGTCCTTTAGAAGTCTTCTCCCAAACTAGTTTTATAACCTTCCAACTCTTCCCATTCTTGCTGACTCCAAAAGTAAACACAGGACCATTTTATTGTTGGATTATGAATTAAAAGAGGATAATGAAAATAATATCCATTTAGTTTCTGAATTTTCTTGCTAAAAGATTTATTAGAAAAATGATGATGAGGTGGTAGCTTTCATCCAAACTCCCTTCTTCCAGGTAGGTCAGCCGATTTAAATCTAGATGTAATCTAAAGACCTACTAAAACTGTATGTATTATTTCCACTCCTCAGGAATTCCAGATGGGGAGGTATGTATCTCACTGGATCCTTGCCCCAAATAGTTCCCCTAGGAGTTTATTCTTACAACTTGAAATAAGGAAGATTTTTTTTTTAAATACTATTTGGCCTGATTTACACTAGATATTTGTGGCCATTTATAAAAACAAAAGAAAAACAAGTAGATAAAAATCAAACTCTGGAAAAATACAAAAAAGATCAAGAATAAGAAATTAGATTAAAATAGAAAAAGAGCCACCACCAGCCTCCATGGCTCACACCTATAATCCCAATACTTTAGGAGGCCAACTCGAGAGGATGGCTTGAGCCCAGGAGTTCAAGACCAGCCTGGGCAATGTTGTGAAACCCAATATTTATAAAAAATACGAAAAGAAGAAGAAAAAATTATATTTCACAATTTATTATTTGTCATGATGTGAAGCTTGAATCTTTATATTAAATCTTTTCCTCTGATTAAAAAAAAGACTAAAAAGTTAGAATGCAGATAAGCAGACAACCAAGGCTACATAATTATTAAAACTGAACTCAATTTTTTTTTTTTTTTTTTTTTGAGATGGAGTCTCGCTCTGTCACCCAGGCTGGAGTGCAGGGGTGGGATCTCTGCTCACTGCCACCTCCATCTCCTGGTTTCAAGCAATTCTCCTGCCTCAGTCTCCCAAGTAGCTGGGATTACAGGTGCCTGCCACTATGACCAGCTAATTTTTTGTATTTTTAGTAGAGACGGGGTTTCACCGTATTGGCCAGGCTGGTCTCGAACGCCCGACCTCAGGTGATCTGCCCACCTCGGCCTCCCAAAGTGCTGGGATTACAGGTGTGAGCCACCGCACCCAGCCTGAACCCAATTTTAATAGGAGATTTCTCACAACTACAGCAAAAATATCGGGCAACCAATTAATAATCTGCTTTGTCCATAAGGAAAAGGCAATTTCTCAGGTGAAGTAAAGCTCTTTCTGAAATAAATCTGAATAAAATTTCTTTTGGACAGAGTGATGTAATACGCTTCTTCATCTACAAAAAGGACATAGCAGACCTCATTCAGCTGTTGTATGATTTTTTAAAAATTAGTGCAGGAAAATGATAAATTGTCTCACTTTACATGGCTTAAAGTCTTAAACTTTCAAAAATTCAAGCTGGAGTAAATAAAAGTGGAGTTGGGCTAAAACTACTGGTGACACCCAAAATTATCAGCTTCAAACATCAAGATGAGGCCCTAACATTTTCAATGTGGACTTGCAGTAGATGCTTTAGCCTAGGTGAATTTTCTAGAAACAAATGGGTGGCAAGCACTCTCTCTTGTCTGCATCTCATACATGTTTTTATTATTGTAGTTATGGCACTGTAATTATTTACAGTCTCTAAGATGGCCATTCCACATCTTATTGAGTATGTATATTCATACATACTCAGTAAGTGTTCACTGAATTAAATAATACTCAATAAGTGTTCACTGAATTAAATAATACTGATGTAAATAAAACCAAAGTCAACAAAATACTTACTGTATTACAACAGTGAAATAGCTATTACAGTCCATAACTCCCAGCAACAGGGGAGACTAAGAATGTGAAACATGTCCCAGAGCACCGAAGCCTTCCAGGTAGCTACTTGATTTTTTCCATTGAAGTATTTAGTCTTATGGCATTTCATATGCTCCAGAATTAGACTATTCCATAAAGACAGGAATATCTGCACTGGCTAAGCACAAAGCCTAATTCAGTTGACCCTTAAACAATGTGGCGGTTAGACACACCAACCCTCAAGCAGTCAAAAACTCGCATACAACTTTTGACTCCCCGCAAACGTAACTACTAATAGCCTACTGCTGACCAAAAGCCTTACTGATAACATAAAGTTAATTAACACATATTTTGTATATGTATTATATACTGTATTCTTCAACAAAGTAAGCTAGAGAAATTGTTAAATCATTAGGAAGGAAAAATATATTTACTATTCATTAAGTGGAAGTTGATCATCATAAAGGTCTTCATCCTCATAGTCTTCATGTTGAGTAGGCTGAGGAAAAAGAGGAATGGTTGATTTTGCTGTCTTCGACGTGGCAGAGTTGGAAGAAAATCCATGTGTAAGTGCACCCACGCAGTTAAAACCCATGTTGTTCAAGGGTCAACTCCACATTACATACTTAAAATTTAAATTATCTGGGCTGGTAGGAAAATGCATTCAGGAAAGTAGTTAATAATTTTCTTTTGTTCTTACAAATGGCCACATATATCTAGTGTAAATCACGCCAAATAATATTTTAAAAAAACCTTCATTTCAAGTTGTAAGAATAAACCCCTGGGGGAACTTTTTGGGGCAAGGACCCAGTGAAATAGATACCTCCCCAACTGGAATTCCTGAGGAGTGGAAATAACACACACAGGTTTAGTGGGTCTTGAATTACCTTGTAATTCAAGGTAAAACTTCTCTGTGACAGCTTCCTAAAGCGAACTGGTTTTGATGAACATCATTCTGTATTACACATACTGCTGTCTTAGTAAATAGTCTACTAAACACAAGTTAAACTTTAGCTAATGACAGAGTCATCATGAAGATGCTTTATCATGTTTTTAAAACGTCACCAGAGACTTATGTGCTGTAAGTTCTATTTGTTCTGTCCCTTCCTAGTGATTCTACCATTATCCAGACTGAATCCCAGTGTCCCCTTTTCTAATTTTTTTCATAACTTTTGCTTTTTCCCCTTCTTCTTCACTTTTTTTTTCCATCCCTGTCCTTCATTGCCTGTGATAGGAGTGGGGCTTACTTTTTATCACCCTCAATGGCCAGGGAGGGCATTCTTTTCCTTCTGCTTCTGAAAAATGATCAGTAACAACGTATATTCTGTAACCTTGTCTTTTTATTCTGATCAGTGATTTTTGTCATTGGTAACTGTTCTGAATTTCTTCAGTTTTTCCTACATTCTTTGTTCCAGACAACTGAAGGTGCCTGGGGATATACAGGAGAGGGCGAGTGCTAAGAAGTCAAAGCGTTCTTTTACTATTATTTTCCTTACATACGCACTCACTTTTCTGCTTTCACTTAATTTTCAAAGTACAGTGCGGAAACTTCTACCAATGACTTACTAAATAGCTCAGTTCCTACATCAAGTCCTTAAAAGATTCTGGAAAAGAGGTAAGTAGCAGAGCAAAAAAGTATCTCAATCCACTTTTTTTTTTTTGCTATAACAGAATACCTGAGACT